>NC_000003.12:132796483-132947998 GCF_000001405.40 Homo sapiens
GTCTTTTGGCTGCATAAATGTCTTCTTTTGAGAAGTGTCTGTTCATATCCTTTGCCCACTTTTTGATGGGGTCGTTTGTTTTTTTCTTGTAAATTTGTTTGAGTTCATTGTAGATTCTGGATATTAGCCCTTTGTCAGATGAGTAGATTGTGAAAATTTTCTCCCATTTTGTAGGTTGCCTGTTCACTCTGATGGTAGTTTCTTTTGCTGTGTAGAAGCTCTTTAGTTTAATTAGATCCCATTTGTCAATTTTGGCTTTTGTTGCCATTGCTTTTGGTGTTTTAGACATGAAGTCCTTGCCCATGCCTATGTCCTGAATGGTATTGCCGAGGTTTTCTTCTAGGGTTTTTATGGTTTTAGGTCTAACATTTAAGTCTTTAATCAATCTTGAATTAATTTTTGTATAAGGTGTAAGGAAGGGATCCAGTTTCAGCTTTCTACATATGGCTAGCCAGTTTTCCCAGCACCATTTATTAAATAGGGAATCCTTTCCCCATTGCTTGTTTTTGTCAGGTTTGTCAAAGATCAGATAGTTGTAGATATGCGGCGTTATTTCTGAGGGCTCTGTTCTGTTCCAGCGATCTATATCTCTGTTTTGGTACCAGTACCATGCTGTTTTGGTTACTGTAACCTTGTAGTGTAGTTTGAAGTCAGGTAGCGTGATGCCTCCAGCTTTGTTCTTTTGGCTTAGGATTGACTTGGCGATGTGGGCTCTTTTTTGGTTCCATATGAACTTTAAAGTAGTTTTTTCCAATTCTGTGAAGAAAGGCATTGGTAGCTTGATGGGGATGGCATTGAATCTATAAATTACCTTGGGCAGTATGGCCATTTTCACTATATTGATTCTTCCTACCCATGAGCATGGAATGTTCTTCCATTTGTTTGTATCCGTTTTTATTTCAGTGAGCAGTGGTTTGTAGTTCTCCTTGAGGAGTTCCTTCACGTCCCTTGTAAGTTGGATTCCTAAGTATTTTATTCTCTTTGAAGCAATTGTGAATGGGAGTTCACTCATGATTTGGCTCTCTGTTTGTCTGTTATTGGTGTATAAGAATGCTTGTGATTTTTGTACATTGATTTTGTATGCTGAGACTTTGCTGAAGTTGCTTATCAGCTGAAGGAGATTTTGGGCTGAGACAGTGGGGTTTTCTAGATATACAATCATGTCATCTGCAAACAGGGACAATTTGACTTCCTCTTTTCCTAATCGAATACCCTTTATTTCCTTCTCCTGCCTAATTGCCCTGGCCAGAACTTCCAACACTATGTTGAATAGGAGTGGTGAGAGAGGGCATCCCTACCAAGGAAATGGAAAACAAAAAAAGGCAGGGGTTGCAACACTAGTCTCTGATAAAACAGACTTTAAACCAACAAAGATCAAAAGAGACCAAGAAGGCCATTACATAATGGTAAGGGGATCAATTCAACAAGAAAAGCTAACTATCCTAAATGTATATGCACCCAATACAGGAGCACCCAGATTCATAAAGCAAGTCCTGAGTGACCTACAAAGAGAGACTCCCACACAATAATAATGGGAGACTTTAACACCCCACTGTCAACATTAGACAGATCAATGAGACAGAAAGTTAACAAGGATACCCAGGAATTGAACTCAGCTCTGCACCAAGCGGACCTAATAGACATCTACCGAACTCTCCACCCCAAATCAACAGAATATACATTTTTTTCAGCACCACACCACACCTATTCCAAAATTGACCACATACTTGGAAGTAAAGCCCTCCTCAGCAAATGTGAAAGAACAGAAATTATAACAAACTGTCTCTCAGACCACAGTGCAATCAAACAAGAACTCAGGATTAAGAAACTCACTCCAAACCGGTCAACTACATGGAAACTGAACAACCTGCTCCTGAATGACTACTGGGTACATAACGAAATGAAGGCAGAAATAAAGATGTTCTTTGAAACCAACGAGAACCAAGACACAACATACCAGAATCTCTGGGACACATTCAAAGCAGTGTGTAGAGGGAGATTTATAGCACTAAATGCCCACAAGAGAAAGCAGGAAAGATCCAAAATTGACATCCTAACATCACAATTAAAAGAACTAGAAAAGCAAGAGCAAACACATTCAAAAGCTAGCAGAAGGCAAGAAATAACTAAAATCAGAGCAGAACTGAAGGAAATAGAGACAAAAAAAAACTCTTGAAAAAATTAATGAATCCAGGAGCTGGTTTTTTGAAAGGATCAACAAAATTGATAGACCACTAGCAAGACTAATAAAGAAAAAAAGAGAGAAGAATCAAATAGACGCAATAAAAAATGATAAAGGGGATATCACCACCTATCCCACAGAAATACAAACTACCATCAGAGAATACTACAAACACCTCTATGCAAATAAACTGCAAAATCTAGAAGAAATGGATAAATTCCTTGACACATACACTCTCCCAAGACTAAACCAGGAAGAAATTGAATCTCCGAATAGACCAATAACAGGAGCTGAAATTGTGGCAATAATCAATAGCTTACCAACCAAAAAGAGTCCAGGACCAGATGGATTCACAGCCGAATTCTACCAGAGGTACAAGGAAGAACTGGTACCATTCCTTCTGAAACTATTCCAATCAGTAGAAAAAGAGGGAATCCTCCCTAACTCATTTTATGAGGCCAGCATCATCCTGATACCAAAGCCGGGCAGAGACACAACCAAAAAAGAGAATTTTAGACCAATATCCTTGATGAACATTGATGCAAAAATCCTCAATAAAATACTGGCAAACCGAATCCAGCAGCACATCAAAAAGCTTATCCACCATGATCAAGTGGGCTTCATCCCTGGGATGCAAGGCTGGTTCAATGTATGCAAATCAATAAATGTAATCCAGCATATAAACAGAACCAAAGACAAAAACCACATGATTATCTCAATAGATGCAGAAAAGGCCTTTGACAAAATTCAACAACGCTTCATGCTAAAAACTCTCAATAAATTAGGTATTGATGGGACGTATCTCAAAATAATAAGAGCTATCTATGACAAACCCACAGCCAATATCATACTGAATGTGCAAAAACTGGAAGCATTCCCTTTGAAAACTGGCACAAAATTCTTATCTGTTAAAAGTGGACATGTGTCTTTGGCCCATGAGAAAATGAGTTTACCTGGGGGGAAAGATCCATAAGTAGGGTGTCCCTGTTTTCCCAGAACAGTCCAGGTTATTTCCATGTAATTATTAACAGCATTCCTTTTCTTGATCAAATGAGCACCAGCTGATTAATGCATTACATGGTCACCTTGCCTATGTGGTAGAGGAACCCATCCATGAGTAAAGGCCTGGCCATGTGATTGACTGGTACCATTCAAGGCATGGTGAGGGGTTCATCGTGGTGGGGCAGTGGGGGCACTGGTGGTGGAGCGATAGGGCAGGTGGCGCAGTAAGAGAGACTGGATTGGGCTAAATGAAGAGTCTGTGTGCCCTGCCAAGCAGAATTATGACTATGCTTGTTTAAGTGCTCCCCTTGCATGCTTATGAAAGGACTGTTCATTATGCTTTGCTTTAGAGAGATTTTGGAACTGGGTTTTCCCAGCTGAAATATTTGTTTTGTATGTTAAAACAATAAGATCCTCTATTTAACTTTAAATTTACATTAATTAAAATTAATTACAATTTAAACATTCAGTTTCTTTGTTGCAGTAGCCACATGTATGGCTAGTAGCCACTGTATCGAACAGTGCAGTTATAAAATTTTTCCATCATCACAGAAAGTTCAACTGGACAGCACTGCTCTAGGCTGTTGCAGATTAATGAGACTAAGGAGGCTTGATAACTAAAGGCAATGTGTCATCCTGGATTGAGTCCTGGACCACAAAAAAAGGACATCAGTAGGACATTTGGTGAAATTTAAATAAGGTCTGTAATAATACTATTGAATCAGTTCTTATTCGATAATTGTACTATAGTATGGAAGATGTACATATTTGGGGCCAAACTTGTTATTATCTTGCAACTTTTTCATAAGTCTGAAGTTATTTCAAAACGAAAAGTTAAAAAAATGTATACATACACATTTATTTCTCTAAAAGCATGTGTACCACCTGTTAGGTAGGACAGTGAGAATACTTAGACCAGTGCTTCTCAAATTTGAACAGGCATACAAATCATCTGAAGATCTTTTTAAAATGCAGGTTCTAGTTTAGTAGTTCTGGGGTGGCTCTTGAGAGTCTACATTTTTTTCTTTCTTTTTTTCTTTTTAAAGACAGAGTCTTGCTCTGTCATTCAGGCTGGAGTGCATTGGCACAATCATAACACACTGCAGCCTAGAAATCCTGGGCTCAAGCAATCCTCCTGCTTCATCCTTTCATGTAGCTGGGATTACAGGCATGTGCCACTACATCTGACTAATTTTTTAATTTTTTTGTAGAGTCAGGGTCTTGCTATGTTGCTCAGGCTGGTCTCAAACTCCTGGACTCAAGCGCTGCTCTCCTACCTGAGCCTCCGAGTTGCTGCTCAGATTTTGCTTTTTGATCAGGTGATGCCTGTTTTGCTATCCAAGGAACATAGCTTGAATAGCAAGGTTTTAAAGAACTGTGAAAATTGTGATTCTTATATATATAAACCCAATGGTAAGGCTGCTAACATTGGAATGTTATTCATAAAGGCAGTAGTTGACCTTATTATTTGGATTGGTCATGTTCCATGAATAGAGTGGAAATGTGATTGCTGGTATGCTGAAACAGTATCTTCTCATTAACTATTAGATCCTGGTAGTTATGTTTTGCTGTTTAGTTTCGGTTTTGTGCACTCACAAGGGAAAGAAAAAATCAAGAAATCTCATGGTTCGATTTCAGCATGCATCAACTGATTTTCTTATTTATGGAAGTCTAACTGTAACATAAAACATTCCAATGTACAGGTGTTGAGGTTTTTGAATAGCTTCCATTTATAGCTTGGGTCTAACTCTTCTCGCCTAAGGGGAGGCGAGCTGGAGGACTGGTAGATAAATATATATTACATAAATCTTTGTGTGCTCCCCACACAAGATGGTTACTTTTGGGTTTTCCAGATTATTCAAGTGTTTTATTTTTCCCCTTTGGGGTTTATACCACAGATGAGAACAGGGTGAGTTGCCCTTCTCAGAGACTTATTCCAGTATCAAGCCTACTTTTTCTTTCCTCATATTTTCAAGCCTTTCTTTTGTCCTTCAAATATAAAACTTACATAATGACTCTAACATTGGAAGTTTTACATGGATTTCATTTTGCTGCTGATTTTATTTCTGGTCCTCTCTCCTGGTACCTTGTTTCCTTGGTTGTTTTATGGTTTTAAAAATTTATTTATTTATACCGTTTATTTTTCTTGATCTGTGAAAATTTTTTTGAGGCCTAGGATGAAGATGAGTTCCTCCAGAAAGAAAGTTTATCTGCCTTTATTAAATTCCTTGGTGATACTACTGCTCTGGAACTACTGTGAATTATCAGCTTACAAGTTTCGGAATTTTGTTGTAAATTCCTGTAAGGGATGGTTCATGATTATGAATGCTCATGTGGGACATTTTTCTCCTTCCTCCCACCATCAAGGTTTGAGTCTGGGCAATTTTCTTTAAAGCCTCCTTTAAAAGAAACTAGGGGTTAGGTTTATTTCTAGTTTACCCTTATATTGAAAATGCAGCCCTTTGGAGACTTGCTCAGTGGAGGTGGGGGTTGGGAGTCATGTTAGACTTTCAAGACCTAGACTTTGTTATCTGTTCTCAGAGACCTGAGAGGCTAGGAACACTGATGTTCAAGTTCACCCAGTATACAGCAACTGGCATCAGAGTGAAACCCCTTCCACTGCTCTCATTACTCTCTTGGCTCCTTATTCATTTAGGGATTTTTTTTTTTTTTTTTTTTTTTTTGCCTAAGTAAGTTTATGAATTAACCAAATATAATGGCTTTACCTTCAACATGCAGGCTTTCAAAAATCTATCACTTTGGGTCCAAATTTTGGCTCTGGGATTTCAAAACTAGGCTTTCAAGATGAGGAATGCCTTTCTTTTGGCCTCTTGTCTTTGGTGCAAAGCAGTTGCAATTCTCCTTCTGTAATCGGTGCTCTTCACGACCATACCTCCCTGAAACAAAGAAGGGCTTAGCTTCAATATATATTTGTTTTAAACCTGGAAGCAGATGTAGGGTAAACAAACAAACTGTAAGCGATAGAAACATTAGTTAATGTAAAATTATTTATTTGCTATAAAGATATATTTGACTATTTCTGGTATTTCAGCATAGGGATTACTGATAATTTATTTAACTAATCTCTTATTATTGAGCATTTTAATTCTTCCCATTTTTTCCCTGCTATCCGTGTTGCAACAGTGAACATTCTTGTACATTTATTTTGTATATACGTGCAACATTTCATCAGGATAAATGTCTACAAGTAAAATTGCTGGGTCGGATGGTATGTCCATTTACAATGCTGATGTTTATTGGTTAGGGCAATATTAAACAGTAATGATCATCTTTTACTAAAGCAAGCATGTGTTTCCGCATCAATTTCAGCGTAACGCCCTTGTATTTTGCACACACAATTCTGCCCTCTATCAGAAAGACTTTTAGATTAGATATCCAACTGTATAATTATCTTTTGTATTCCCAGATTTCACTTTAACAATCTTTTTTTTTTTTTTTTTTGAGACAGAGTCTCGCTCTGTCGCCCAGGCTGGAGTGCAGTGGCACAATCTACGCTCACTGCTCACTGCAAGCTCCGCCTCCCAGGTTCACGCCATTCTCCTGCCTCAGCCTCCCGAGTAGCTGGGACTGCAGGCGCCCACCACCACGCCCAGCTAATTTTTTTGTATTTTTAGTAGAGACGGGGTTTCACCATGTTAGCCAGGATGGTCTCCATCTCCTGACCTCGTGATCCGCCCACCTCGGCCTCCCAGAATGCTGAGATTACAGGCATGAGCCACCGCGCCTGGCCTTTAACAATCTTTAATAACTGTACTTAGAGGAATTCATGGATTGTTAGCAGTGATACAACTTCTGTGTAAATTTTAAGCTATTTAATGATCCTAGATGGATTCTCAGTTTGCACTTCTCATTTTTTTAGACAGGAGTACCAGTGACTACAAACTTATGGATAGAGTTATGTGTTAACTCTGAATTAAAGTCAGTCTTTAAGTGCTGTTTTGAATCATACACTAAAATCATAGCATATTAGAGTTCTAAGGGTTCTTATAGGTCTGTAACCAGAGTGCCGCAGTTTATAGTTTGGAATGCAAATAAGGCACTGCTCAGGAGAGGTCCCAAAGTGCAACACGTGAGCCTCACATGCCAAATGAACAGGAAACTGCTTTTCTTTGGGAGCCCCCTCCCCTGATATTCCTAGGGCCAGTTCTGGCCACTTCCATTTCAAATCCTGATGTCTCAACTCAGACACCAGGAGTGTCTCTGATGCCCCACAAGAAGCTGGTGGCTCCAGAGGAAGCTGCTTGTGTAGACCCTGCCTTGGACGACTGTTCTTTTCTAGGGAGCCAGAGAGAAGATCCCCAGCCTTTGGTTAAGTTCAGCCAGGAGAGGGCTCCTGTGAGACCTGGCCTGGCCTCCCATCATTAGATTCAATTCACTCACATAGCCACTTCTCTAGGACTCAAATCTGCCATCTGATTCTCGGGTTGGGTCTAGACCCAGTGTGCACTGTCTTACAGCTCCCAAAGCACATTCCTTTTCAAACGCCTAAGTCTGCAGAGGCTGGACTGGTGATCCTATGTTTTCTCTTTGGTAAGGGCTTATCTTAGGATCTCGTGGCCCTTTCCTGACTCCAGGCCTTGCTCAGGGCCACCCCTAGTCCACCCTGACTAGTTTTAATTTTAGAGACAAAGTGTAGGGGTCTTGATCCCTTCCTCTAGGAGAGTCTTGGGCTCCAAATGCAAATTTGACTACTCCCCTTCTCACCCCAGCAATCTTCAGGCTCTACATCTCAGCATTTTCTTTCTTTCTCACACAGAGATATGAAATTCCATTTTACCCAGCCATCCTACTGGAGAGCATTTAAGTCCAGTGCCCTCATTTTAAAAATGAGGAAACCAAAGCACAGAAAAGTTACTTACCTAAGATGACACACTTGGTCACAATAGATCAGAGGCAAGAATTCTTGTTGTCTAAATCATAATATAGGACTCTGTTATTTCCACTGAAATGTTTCTGTTTTGTGAGTTTTTTTCCAGTGAATTTTGAAATCCTGAGCCACATTCTGTCTCACATTCCTGGCCACATTCCACACTGCCCAGCTGAAATATGCTCAAACTTGCTGGGTGCTTTTATGATTTACCTAGTGGTGATTTCCAGAGTCAAAGCCAAACCACTCATTAAAAGCAGCCACTATTTTGGAAAGCCCACATGATTGTTCCCCTTCATTAGAATGAATAATCAAGAGCTAGCACTGAGCATATTTGTTGCCCTAGAATGTGCTTTGCTGCCTCTCTGTGACCCAGAGAATCTAGAAAATACTTATGCTGCAGCCCAGCATTTGAGGTATGTTTCCCTTCCCATAGTTCCCATGGACTCTCCATTGGGTCAAACCTTTTGGAGGTATTTCTGATTCTATTTCATCCTGAACATTTGCCACTTGATGAGCAGTGTAGGGAAGAAACTGGAAAACAGAGAGTAAAGAAATCTATCTGAAAAGTGGTCTCAATACCCTGGGTCTTGGTTCTTCACCCCTGGGGCTGTCATCCTTACCTGTGGCATGGAGTTCTCAGCATATGCCTATTCCTCAGGCTGATAGCTAGTTTTGGGTGGGGAATGCAGTTTGAGAAGGTACTAGTCTGGAGGGAGGGGGTGTAGGAGGAGAGTTCATATTTAAAATTCCTTCTCTTGAGGAATTCAATTTCAAAAAGCCCAGAGTTCTGCTATATATTGGCAGAATACAATTAGTTGGCTTGGCTAATGTTGGGTCAGGACTGCCCTTTTAACAGAACACCGTTCTCCAAAGACAGCCTTTAGCATTCTTTGACAAAGATCTTTAAGGAAATCACTTTCATCTTGATTTTTTTTATTAGTTAACATGCAGCGAAAACTTAACCGTTGGTTTACATCTGTAGATTCTACTAAAAATTCAATCTGTTATCCACATCAGATCACATGTCTCTAAGAGAGAGGTTCTTTGCCCTGGCTGCACATTGAATCACCTGGGGAACTTAAAAAACTTCCAACGTCCTGGCCACACCTCAGAGCAATTAAATCAGACCCTCTGGAAATGGGACCCAAGCATCAGTACTTTTTCATTATTTGTTGTTAATTTTTGTAGGGATGGGCTCTTGCTATGTTGCCCAGGCTGATCTCAAACTCCTGACCTCAAGTGATCCTCCTGCCTCAGCCTCCCAAAGTGCTGGGATTACAAGCATGAGCCACCAAACCCAGCCGGCATTCTGGAGTCCAAGTTGAGAACCACTGCCTAAAAGTTGCTACCTGAAGGCTATAATTTGCCTGAATGCTACACTCTAAGCTTTGCGAGGGCAGAAACTGGTTTGTTTACTCTCACTCATCCTCAATGCCTGTGATACCTCCTGACCCATAGTTGGAGTTTAACGAATATTTATTCATTAAATGAATTAATGCTTGTTCAGAATTTCATTAAGATGTAGATAAAGAAATGCTCTGCCTTTTGCCTGGGAGTGATGTTGGAAATCCTTAATCACTTATACGGCCATGACACTTGATCAGAGTGTTAGAGGCCTCTATGTGCCCTGAAACCTTAAATTATAGGATCATGGGAGGTTTAGTGTCCTGGTGGAGGGGCATCATTGGCCAGAACTGTTGGGACACTTTGGGGAGATCAGCACAATAGCTATTTACCAACTGGAATGAAAGCATTTTAATATTTTAACAATAGGTCCAGCTGTACACAGCGGTGGGAGAGCAGGCTACCATGGTTTACGTTTTGATCCTTCTGCTGTTAACAGGGGATTTCCTAGTCTGAAAGGCTATATGTGTTATAGCTATATGTGTTCTGTTGCTGTCTTACCTCTCAGACTTCACCTTATATCACTCCCCTGACCCTCTTCTCGGCAACACTGGCCTTCTCTGTGTTTCTTCAACACGGCTAAGCTCCTTCTTGCCTTAGGGCCTTTGCTCTTGCTATTCAGTCTGCTGGATTATTTGCCCAATGGGAGGAGCTTCAAAGTCATGTTACAAAGGGCATAGATTCAAAGAAGGGATGGCAGTAGCCATTTCTGTTACTCTACCACGTGGCCCCTTCATGTAAATGCTCAGCATCTCAGATTTCTTCTTCATCCCTCTTTTCCTCTCCAAAATGCTACTTGGGTATAATAAAGAAAAAATGTCACTTGTGTGGCATGATAGTCTCAGAGACAAAAAAAGTGTCCCTTCAGTTTCTCTTGGATCGTCTCTGGTCTTAGCTAGAGAGTGCTTGGTCCCAGCTGCCACTTGCACTTGAGCTTCAGGCTCCATCCCTGGGTGTTCTGTTCATGTTTGGTGCTGATAGTTACGGCTGTTGAAACTTGGATTAGTTATTTTTGTCTTGACTGGGCCTAGATAACTAGGACTCATATCCTTCTCCTTGGCATTGCAGACACTAGAAGCTTTTGCATTTAGGTTTATAATTCAGCTAATGTTCATATTTTTCTTTCTTTTTTTTTTTTTATTATACTCTAAGTTTTAGGGTACATGTGCACATTGTGCAGGTTAGTTACATATGTATACATGTGCCATGCTGGTGCGCTGCACCCACTAATGTGTCATCTAGCATTAGGTATATCTCCCAATGCTATCCCTCCCCCCTCCCCCGACCCCACCACAGTCCCCAGAGTGTGATATTCCCCTTCCTGTGTCCATGTGATCTCATTGTTCAATTCCCACCTATGAGTGAGAATATGCGGTGTTTGGTTTTTTGTTCTTGCGATAGTTTACTGAGAATGATGGTTTCCAATTTCATCCATGTCCCTACAAAGGATATGAACTCATCATTTTTTATGGCTGCATAGTATTCCATGGTGTATATGTGCCACATTTTCTTAATCCAGTCTATCATTGTTGGACATTTGAGTTGGTTCCAAGTCTTTGCTATTGTGAATAGTGCCACAATAAACATACGTGTGCATGTGTCTTTATAGCAGCATGATTTATACTCATTTGGGTATATACCCAGTAATGGGATGGCTGGGTCAAATGGTATTTCTAGTTCTAGATCCCTGAGGAATCGCCACACTGACTTCCACAATGGTTGAACTAGTTTACAGTCCCACCAACAGTGTAAAAGTGTTCCTATTTCTCCGCAGCCTCTCCAGCACCTGTTGTTTCCTGACTTTTTAATGATTGCCATTCTAACTGGTGTGAGATGATATCTCATAGTGGTTTTGATTTGCATTTCTCTGATGGCCAGTGATGATGAGCATTTCTTCATGTGTTTTTTGGCTGCATAAATGTCTTCTTTTGAGAAGTGTCTGTTCATGTCCTTCGCCCACTTTTTGATGGGGTTGTTTGTTTTTTTCTTGTAAATTTGTTTGAGTTCATTGTAGATTCTGGATATTAGCCCTTTGTCAGATGAGTAGGTTGCGAAAATTTTCTCCCATGTTGTAGGTTGCCTGTTCACTCTGATGGTAGTTTCTTTTGCTGTGCAGAAGCTCTTTAGTTTAATTAGATCCCATTTGTCAATTTTGTCTTTTGTTGCCATTGCTTTTGGTGTTTTGGACATGAAGTCCTTGCCCACGCCTATGTCCTGAATGGTAATGCCTAGGTTTTCTTCTAGGGTTTTTATGGTTTTAGGTTTAACGTTTAAATCTTTAATCCATCTTGAATTGATTTTTGTATAAGGTGTAAGGAAGGGATCCAGTTTCAGCTTTCTACATATGGCTAGCCAGTTTTCCCAGCACCATTTATTAAATAGGGAATCCTTTCCCCATTGCTTGTTTTTGTCAGGTTTGTCAAAGATCAGATAGTTGTAGATATGCGGCATTATTTCTGAGGGCTCTGTTCTGTTCCATTGATCTATATCTGTGTTTTGGTACCAGTACCATGCTGTTTTGGTTACTGTAGCCTTGTAGTATAGTTTGAAGTCAGGTAGTGTGATGCCTCCAGCTTTGTTCTTTTGGCTTAGGATTGACTTGGCAATGCGGGCTCTTTTTTGGTTCCATATGAACTTTAAAGTAGTTTTTTCCAATTCTGTGAAGAAAGTCATTGGTAGCTTGATGGGGATGGCATTGAATCTGTAAATTACCTTGGGCAGTATGGCCATTTTCACGATATTGATTCTTCCTACCCATGAGCATGGAATGTTCTTCCATTTGTTTGTGTCCTCTTTTATTTCCTTGAGCAGTGGTTTGTAGTTCTCCTTGAAGAGGTCCTTCACATCCCTTGTAAGTTGGATTCCTAGGTATTTTATTCTCTTTGAAGCAATTGTGAATGGGAGTTCACCCATGATTTGGCTCTCTGTTTGTCTGTTGTTGGTGTATAAGAATGCTTGTGATTTTTGTACATTGATTTTGTATCCTGAGACTTTGCTGAAGTTGCTTATCAGCTTAAGGAGATTTTGGGCTGAGACGAGGGGGTTTTCTAGATAAACAATCATGACGTCTGCAAACAGGGACAATTTGACTTCCTCTTTTCCTAATTGAATACCCTTTATTTCCTTCTCCTGCCTGATTGCCCTGGCCAGAACTTCCAACACTATGTTGAATAGGAGCGGTGAGAGAGGGCATCCCTGTCTTGTGCCAGTTTTCAAAGGGAATGCTTCCAGTTTTTGCCCATTCAGTATGATATTGGCTGTGGGTTTGTCATAGATAGCTCTTATTATTTTGAAATACGTCCCATCAATACCTAATTTATTGAGAGTTTTTAGCATGAAGGGTTGTTGAATTTTGTCAAAGGCTTTTTCTGCATCTATTGAGATAATCATGTGGTTTTTGTCTTTGGCTCTGTTTATATGCTGGATTACATTTATTGATTTGCGTATATTGAACCAGCCTTGCATCCCAGGGATGAAGCCCACTTGATCATGGTGGATAAGCTTTTTGATGTGCTGCTGGATTCGGTTTGCCAGTATTTTATTGAGGATTTTTGCATCAATGTTCATCAAGGATATTGGTCTAAAATTCTCTTTTTTGGTTGTGTCTCTGCCCGGCTTTGGTATCAGAATGATGCTGGCCTCATAAAATGAGTTAGGGAGGATTCCCTCTTTTTCTATTGATTGGAATAGTTTCAGAAGGAATGGTACCAGTTCCTCCTTGTACCTCTGGTAGAATTCGGCTGTGAATCCATCTGGTCCTGGACTCTTTTTGGTTGGTAAACTATTGATTATTGCCACAATTTCAGAGCCTGTTATTGGTCTATTCAGAGATTCAACTTCTTCCTGGTTTAGTCTTGGGAGAGTGTATGTGTCGAGGAATGTATCCATTTCTTCTAGATTTTCTAGTTTATTTGCGTAGAGGTGTTTGTAGTATTCTCTGATGGTAGTTTGTATTTCTGTGGGATCGGTGGCTAGCAAGACTAATAAAGAAAAAAAGAGAGAAGAATCAAATAGACACAATAAAAAATGATAAAGGGGATGTTCATATTTTTCAAACTACTTATTCAGATTTACCAGCATTGAATTACCTTAACTTCCTTGTTCAAAATCAATTGAATATAATAAATGTGTGGTCTATTTCTGGACTCTCAAATCTGTTCCATTAATCTATTTTTGTATCTACCAATACCACACTGTCTTGATTGCTGTACCTTTATAATAAGTTTTGAAATCAGGCAGGATGAGGTTACAACATTATTCTTTTTACTGCTTTTACTTAGGTCTTCTTTAATTTCTGTCAGCAATGTTTTATACATTTTGGTATATATGTCTTTGCTGAATTTATTCCATACATATATATTTAATTATATATAGATACACAATCACATTTTAGTGCTACTATAAGTGCCAGATTTTGTGGCTAAATATATGTAACACAAGACTTATCATTTTCACCATTTTAAGTGTACAGTTCAGTGGAATGAAGTGCATTTACATTTTTGTGCAACCCTCACCCACACCCCATCTCCAGAACGTTTTTTTTCCTAAGCTGAAACTGTACCATGAAACACAAACTTCCCAATTCTTCAACCCTGGCAACTACCATTTTACTTTCTTTCTCTATGATTTTGACTATTATAAGACCTCATTTAAGAGGAATCATACAGCATTTGTTCTTTTGTGGCTGGCATATTCTACTTAGCATGGTGTCTTTAGGGTTCATCCATGTTATAGAATGTGTCAGAATTTCTTTTTTTTTTTTTTTTTTTTTTTTTGAGATGGAGTCTCGCTCTGTTGCCCAGGCTGGAGTGCAGTGGCATGATCTTGACTCACTGCAAACTCTGTCTCCTGGGTTCAAGCAATTCTCCTATCTCAGCCTCCTGAGTAGCTGGGATCACAGGCATCCGCCACCACCCCTAGCTAATTTTTGCATTTTTTAGTAGAGACGGGGTTTCACCACATTGGCCAGGCTAGTCTTGAACTCCTGACCTCAGATGATCTGCCTGCCTTGCCTCCCAAAGTGTTGGGATTATGGGCATGAGCCACTGCGCCCAGCCAGGATTTCTTTTTTTTTAAGGCTGAATAATATTCCATTGTATGTATATACCATATTTTGTTTATCCTTTCATCTATTGATGGATGCAACAATATTGAATTACCATCTATTGATGGAAGTAACACGAGTTGCTTCCACCTTTTGGCTATTGTGAATAATGCTTCTATGAACACAAATGTACAAATATATGCTCGAGTCCTTGCTTTCGATTCTTTCAGATATATACTTTAAATGTGTGTATGTGTGTGTGTGTGGTAGGGGAAGGAGTGTCACAATCCTGTTGGCTGGGGACCTGGATAGAACAAAAACAGAGAAAAGATAAATTGGTCTCTGTCATCCTGGAGCTAGGATATACTCTTCTCTTGCTTTTGGACATCAGAACTCCAGGCTTATCCAGCTTTTGGATTCCAGTATTTACACCAGTGGCCCCCCAGTTTCTCAGGCTTTTAGGCTTGCATTGAGCCATACTAATGGCATCCCAGGGTCTCCAGCTTGTAGATAGCCTGTTATGGGACTTCTCAGCCTTCAGAATTGTGTGTGCCAATTCTCCTAATAAACTCCTCTTTATCTATCTATCTATCTATCTATCTATCTATCTATCTATCTGTCTATCTATCTATCTGTCATCTATCCATCCATCTACCTATTTATCTATCCATCCTATTTGTTGTGTGTCTCTGGAGAACCTTGACTAATTCAAACTTCAATTTACATCCCTGTAGCAGCCACTCTCTATTAGATATCATTGGGTCTTTCCCCAGACATGTGCAGCCTAGCCTTCAACCAATAACCCAAGGAAGACCCACACGGACTTTCCCCTACCTACTTCACAGCCAGTCAACTTTATTCTCTCTAATGCCCTTTGTTCTCTCTGATGCTCTCAGCTTACATTTCATCTCCTTGCATTGTGGTCAGAAAAATGCTGCCAAGCAAAGAGCCAGGGTGAATATGGGTTAAAGCTTACAAATCTTAGGGGTTTCCTTTTGCCAAGGAGTGTATATATATATATATATATATATATATATATATATATAATAATATATGTAATATAAATATATATGATAATATAAATATATGTATGTATCAAGGACCCATATTTTTGTTATCTTTTCCTTCTGCCATTTTCCTATGTGTTATGTTTTCAACCTTAGTTTGTTGTCTCATGGTTGCAAGGTGGCTGCCACTGCTCCAGACATCACATCCTCACATAGGTGTTTTCTAGGCAGTAAGAAGGAATAGGTCTCTTTTCCATTTATGATTTTATCAGGGGGAAAAGCCATATCCAAAGTCCTTCCAGAAGACTTCACTTAATGTTTCTTTGGCCAGAAATGAGACTCTCCCAAATCAATCACTAGCAAAGGGCAATGGGTTCTTTTCTTTTCTTTTCTTTTCCTTTTCTTTTCTTTTCTTTTCTTTTCTTTTCTTTTCTTTTCTTTTCTTTTCTTTTCTTTTCTTTCCTTTTCTTTCCTCTCCTCTCCTCTGCTCTTCTTTTCTTTTCTTTTCTTTCTTTCTCTTGCTTGCTTGTCATGGTGTCACCCTGTCCCTAGGCTGAAGGGCAGTGGTGTGATCATAGCTCACTGCAACCTCAAACTCCTAGGGTCAAGCGATCCTCCCATCTCAGCCTCCCTAGTAGCTAGGACTACAGGTATACACTACCACACCTAACTAATATTTTTTAAATTCTTTTTAGAGACAGAGTCTCACTGTGCTGCCCAGGATGATGTTGAACTTCTGGCCTCAAGCAGTCCTCCTGCCTCAGCCTTCCAAAGAGCTGGGATTACAGGCATAAACCACTGTGCCTGCCCTGGCTGGGCAATGGATTTTAGAGGCCAATAATGATTCAACTTTTGAGATAAGGTGAAAGGCCCTTATCTTTCTGAGATAAGATGTCTTTAAAGTAAGGTGAATTTTGTTGTTCATTTTGCTATCTGAACAAGATTAAGAATTTATAAACTAATAAAGAAGAAAAAATGGTTGTTAAAATAGCAACCAACAGTGATTGAATAGTAAGGCTTCTCAACCCAAATTTGGAAATTTGTGAAGCTCATATTATAAATAAATTAATAGAATAACATGTTACCTTTGACATCTTATTTCACCTATCCATCCTGCTCATGGCAGCCAAACTTATCTTCCTGAAATACAGTTTTGACCATGCTAGAACTTTGCTCAAAAACTTTGCTGGCTGCCTATCACTACAAAACAGTCTCCAAAGCATGGCATGCAGTGCCTTTGGGATCTGTCTCCACGTTACCTTTTTAGTATTATCTTTTAGTGTAATCCCTCTCTGCCCTTGTCACACAACATTTGCCCTTCCTCTGACATGCTGTGCATTCCTGTGTCTGTTATTGCTGGCAATGCCTTTGCTCTCCTTATTTATTCCTCAATCCACCATTCTTTGGAGACCCAGCTGAAATGCCACCTCTTCCATGATGCCATTCACAATATTTCCAATTGCAACTGATCTCTATTATCTCTGTTCTCCTATTGTACCTACCATGCTCCATTGTAGGATATTTAGTGGCAAATGTATTTCGATTCCGTTTTACTCAGTTGTGTATCCTTACATTGCCTTCTAGAGGGATGGCAGATACACAGCACAGAAGCCACAAATCCCTATTTGTGAGCCCATGGAAGATATTACTATATGATTACAATATGATTTTCTACTAAGCCTAAATGTACATCAAGGCATCTCAGGACATTATTAATTGATTAACAACTGCTTCTGGCAGTTATTACTAGTGGATTACATGAAATCCACATTCTATCTCTAGCTACATTTATGGCCTTGTTCATAATCAAAGCTTAATGCTTTGGTTAGTTGAAGTGAATTTCACTACATAGATTCCATGATTGGTTTCCACCAATGACTACATTTATTTGGGAGATGGTAGAAATCTAGAGGATTATAATGCTATAGCATTACAGCATGTGGCGGAGCAAACCACATGGAAGAAATGCGCTAGTAAGAGAAATAAGTTCTTGCCAAAGGGAGGCCAGACTGTCAGACCTTTTTAGTTTTTTTTTTTTTCCTTAAGAAACCCACCAGGAAACCTTGTTATTTTCTTGGTTCAAAATCCAAGAATTAGATAAAGGTATACATCAACTTTGTAGGCTATGCTCTGGGAATCTCATGGGTCAAGGGAAGGAGTAAGAGTGTTTCTGAATGTCACAATCCATTTTATTATGGGCAAACTTTTATCAGACATGGCTGTAAGATCCCCCTTCGGAAACAGCAGGTATCTACAACAAATAAGATTTTTTAAACCATGCAGACATAAGTCTAATGTTCAGAAGTCAGTTTGGGAAATGGCAGAATAAGCAGGGCTTTTTAAAAAAAAGATTAGGTCAGTTTTGAATGTTTATCTATTTTTTTGAACCTATTGTAAGGCTGCACTGTCCAATATAGTAGCTGTCACATGCAGGTAAATTTAAATTAATTAAAATTAAATAAAATTTAAAATTTAGTTCCTCAGTCACAGGAGGCACATTTCAAGTGCTCAACTCCACATGTGGTTAGCAGCTACTGTATTGG
This sequence comes from Homo sapiens, assembly GCF_000001405.40. Taxonomy (NCBI): domain Eukaryota; kingdom Metazoa; phylum Chordata; class Mammalia; order Primates; family Hominidae; genus Homo; species Homo sapiens. Next base: position 132,814,557 of record NC_000003.12, read on the forward strand.
ACAGAGCAGATACTGAACATTTCCATGATCACAGAAAGGTCTAGTGGGCAGCACTGTTCTAAGGTCTCCTATAAAAGACTTGAACTCCTGTGAAATGTAGTTTAGGGTTTTTGCAGAAGTTTTGGTTCTATGCACCAATTAGATTCTTCAGTATTACCATTAATTATATTATGTAACTTTCAATGAAAGTTATACCCAAATCAATGCTTTTCTCTTTAGAGGTCTTTCTGTTTATAGTCTCATTCGAGATAAATATCAAGAAAGTTTTTACAGTTAGAAGCCTGTGTGGTAAGCAAGATTCTGTTATTTATTTTTTGTTGTTTCTTTATGGTGGTTAATGTCTTACCTGATCCATAGAGTTGCTTTTTGCAACCCTCTGCATGCTAAGTTGGCTATGTACTGTTTGGTTGTGTGAATGTAAATTGCCTAGGATTTTGCCTTACTAAGGAAGATACAGAGAATTCAATAATTAAATAAAAGGACTATTGGGAAATAATGTGCCATAAGGCTCCTAACTATTCTGGAATACTTTTATTCTTGCTTCTCTCTCTTAAATAAAAACTACTGTCTATAGAGAGATGCATTAAAAATAGGCCACATACAATATGGTTAAAGCTTCCATGTTAGTTTTAAATGGAGTTCATTTGAAATGAGTTAATCTAGGTTATGGTGGTTATTCAATATAAAGTTCATTCTTTGTTACAATTCAAAGCCATATGTTTACTTCATTTATTCCTGTAAAGATAAGATTAATTTTTTTTTTATTTAAGCAAGGTCAAATATGAATATAAAGAAATGTGTTGGGGCTTAGGAGTCAAAATCTCATTTTTCTTTCTACCCCTATGGTTCTGTAGATTATTAACTTTCCTTGTAATTTCCTATTAAGGTACCTCTTTGAATAAAGTCTAGATGGGCTACTTAGGATTCATATATTCTCTTTATCCACATGACACTGACGCTGAAAACTTGGTATATATTTGTAACAAATGAACCAAAATCTTCCCTTTTCAGCTTTATCATTGTCATGACAAGTCCTTTTCAGAGACAGCTGTATTGAGGTGGTAAATCACGTGGCTGAGTTTGATTCCCAGCTCCATCACTCCCGGTTGTATGGAACATAAAAGTTACTTAATGTTGTGTACTTCACTTCATCTCAAAGATGAGTTTGATTTCCAAACCTCCATCATCATAATAAATAGTGATATTATTTTTCAGTTGGGTTCCAAGTCTAAAATTCATTTTTCTTTCTGACTTAAACTTGTAAATTTTAAATGCAATTTATGTACAGTGAAACACAGATCTTAAGTATACAGTCTGATGAATTTTGACAAATGCATACACTATCAAGATATAGGAGATTTCTTAAAACCCACTATCAAGATATAGGAGATTTCTATCTCACCAGTACGTTCCTTTCACCTTTTCCCAACCAGTCCCCAAAACATCCACATGAGGCAATCACTATTTTGATTTTATGACTATAGCTTACTTTTATCTGTTGTGGAATTTCATGTAAATGGAATCATACAGCATGTATTCTTTTGTATAAGACTTTTCCCATTTTCTACTAATTATTTTGTTTTACTTTCTACTATAATGTTCCTTCCATTTACATTTTATGTAGAATAGCTGTCTTTAACACATTGAAAAATCATGGGTAGAGAGGTTAATTTTAAAAGTCTAAAAGAATGGCTTGGTGTTTAGGAAATGGCTTTGTAATTCTTAGCTACATGACCATGTGAGTTTCAGCAAGTTACTTAAACTCTCTGAACCACACATCACTTTAAAGTGATTGTTATATTTACCTCACAAGTATTTTTTATTAGCATGAAATAAAATCATGTATATGAAGTAACCCCACTTGAGGGCACTAAAAAATTGTCAATTCCCTCCTCTTTTAGGCCAATAAATCTTACAGTAGTAACCAACCTGTCGTTTGTCCATTTGTGACTGAGCACGTATCCAACAATTACAAAGAACGTATGACTATCGGTGCTTAGTAGGCTCAAGTCAAGGTTTTTCTCTTATACAATTACAGTTTATATTTATTTACCCTTTATTTCTGTGTATTAGCTCACTTAATCTTCATTGCATTTCCTATGAAAAATAGCTAGCATTATCTTTATTTTACAGATAAGGAAACCAAAACTCAACGTGGCTAGCTTGTCCAGAATCTCCCAAAAAGTTAGTAGATGATGAAGCCAGACTGGCACCAAAGCTTGCACTTTTAATGAGGCAATGATGAATCAATCCCCTGAGGTAGAGACAAGGGTGACCAAAGACCCTCAAGTTTGCTGCCACTGCTCTGCACCCAGGAGAATTTCCAGTACAACTTGGGGAACCAGGAACAGGCTGGACAGATGTGTGCATTCTCCAAAGCTCTCCATATGTTTTCTGTTGCCTGCTCAGGTAGTGCTTGGCTGTGAATTGACTATGGTCCAATGGCTCCTTTGTTGTTCCCTTACTCATGAAAAGGTCTGTGCTGTTTTGGCCATTTATATATGCCAGAGACTATTCTGGGCACTGGAAATATAGCAATATGCAAAATAGACCAAAAAATTCCGGCTCTAATGGAAGTTACATTCTAAATGGGGAAGATGGACAATAAGTGAATGAACAAACAGGTCCGTTTACTTATTTAATGTTGGGGACAATAAGTACTTTGGAGAAAAATAATATAGGGAAGAGGAACCTGCAGTGACAGAACATGGTATTTATTCGTCTAAATTGGGTGGTGAGGGAAGGCCTTAATTAATTTGGGGAAATTATAAGGTAAAGGACATGAGGAATGAGCCACACAGATGTGGAGCGGATTGGGAGAGGGTGTGTTCCTGGCAGAGAGAAGAGCAAGTCCAAAAGCACTACGTCAAGAGGCATCTTATAGGAATAGTCAGGAAACCAGTGACCCTAGTGCACAGTGAGCCGGGGAAGAAGAATAAGTGGGGCGTGAGAGGGGCCAATCATGGAGGGCCTTATTTGACATTTAAAACAATTTGGCTTTTATTATAAGTGAGATGCAAAGCCATTAAAGAATTCTGAGCAGAGAAAGCACATTAATTTGACTCATATTTTTAAAAGGATCGTTCTGGCTTCGGGGTTGAGAATGGACCATAGGAAGGCAAGGCTGGAAGCAGGGAGACCAGGTAGGAGGCTGTTGCAGTAACATAGGCAAAAGATCGTGTTGGTTTAGACCAGATTAGTATTAGAAGAGGTCATGGGAGGTGGTTGGATTCTAGATATGACTTGAGGCTCCAGCCAATAGGATTTGTTGACAGATGGGTTGTGGTTTGTGAAAGAGTGACCAAGATGTCGGGGGTTTTGTCCTGAGTCAGTGGGATGGAATCACTATCAACTGAGATGGGGAAGGCAGGGGGAGGAACAGGTCTGGGAAGGAACAACAGGATCCATTTTTGGACAAGTTGATAGGAGATGCCTGTTAGACATAAAGTGGAGATGTTGGGTAGGTGGATGAATATATGAGTCTAGTGTCTGGAACAAAGTCTGGGCTGAAGATGCAAATTTGAGGAATTGTCAGAAAAGAGAGATTCAAAGCTAAAGGCTAGATAAGCATACCTAGAGTGGGGGTGTGTTGACAGAAAAGGGAAGTCTAGTTAGAGTCTCTTTGGAACTGATAAAATGTAAGTTAAAATAAAAACTGTCACTCAGGTTTTCACAAAAGTTATTGGAGAGCTTTTATTCTTACTACCATTTAATATTTTCATTATATTTCTAGCTTATTACTCACTCACTCTTTTCCTTACTAAACAGGTTCTTATCATTTTATCTTTAGGATGAAAACTAGCCCTGCAGGCCACTTGTTCCAGATCTCTCACAGATTATTGGGCACTGAAGTTATAGTTGATCTCTTTTTGAAAGTACTCTCCACTCTTCAACTCTTTGTAGGTTAAGAGGAAGCCAAGGAGGCACAAAAACAAATATTTCCTTTGGACTCTAGGGCTTTATCAATGTGAGGAACAGAGTTTATTTCAAAAAACTTCTGCGCTCTTGTGAAAAGTAAAGAGAAGAAACATTTTGACTGTTTTGTTAATCTGTGACCTTGAGAACTGCCTTCATTTTATAACTGGAGAAGCAAAATCCTATTTTGTTGAGTGAATGAACAGAAATTATCTTCCCACTATCCTAGATGCAATCATATAATTTTCAGGTTGTTTGAAAAAGTCACCCTAAGAGTCATATAAAGATGAAACGAGAGATGAAATACCCGGAAATGTTTTGTTCCAGTTACTGTGGCTGCATAACAAATCACCCTAAAATTTAATGGAATAAAACATTTATTATACTCTGTAATTCTGTGGGTAATGAATTTGGAATGGGCGCAGCATGAATGGCTTGTCCTGCTCCACAATGCCTGGTCATCAGATGGAAGACAGGAGGGCTATGCGCTAGAATCATCTGAAGGTTCACTCACTCACTCGACCAGCAGCTGCTTCTAGGTGCCAAATGGAGCCACAGTTCCTCTCCACGTGGGCTTCTCATGTGGTCTCTCTGCATGGACTAGTTTGGACTAGTTTGTCACCATGCTGCGAGTTAGTCCAAAGGTGAGTGTGCCCTAAAGGGTTAGTTTCAAGGGTGAGTGCCGTAAAGGAGAGCCAGTGGGGCACTGTGTGCTTTGTATGGCCTAACTTCAGAAGTCATACAGCATCGCTTCTGCTGTCCTCAATTGGTAGGGGCAGTCTCAAGCTCACCCAGGTTCAGTGGAAGCAATAAAGGTTCCACATTTCAGTGGCACGAGCGTCAACCACATTGGAAGCAGAGCATGTAGATGGGATATACAGATTGGTGCAGCCATCTTTGCAAAAATACAATCTGCCAAAGATTTAGTGACTATCATGAGCATAAACTGTTAGATTTGCAGTCTTTTGCCTGGAAAGTAGAGAGGAGATAAACACCTCTGAGAGACTGGGTGAGGTAAGAACTTTTACATTGATTTTAGAAATATCCTTTTTACATTTTTTTAAAAATTTTTGGATTCCTATTCTGCAGACCATGAAAATGCTGCTTTGCAAAAGGTCTGTCTGTATCTCAGGTTCGCTGTTTCATTAGGACAGCATTTGTACAGAGTGTTGCTATATGACAAGCTTCTCACAAGGGCACAAGGAAGTGACATATTGTGGAGATGCAAACAATTACTGAAAGCCCTTGAGAGTGTGCAGGTATCACCCACAGGAGAGCAGAGAGAAGCTCTCCTATAAAGCTGACCCCCTCCCTGATCAAATACTAGTGAATTCTACCATATCCTTTGCTTAACATCTACCGATTTCCCTCAAGGCATGTGCAAAGAGAATCAGACTAAATCATACCCTTTATCTCTGTAGATTGAGATCTAGGGAAACAAGCTTGTCTTTTTCCACATACAAAGTCAGTGCCATGGACCCATTTTTAGAAGTGATGGGTGGTTTGGTCTCTGTTAGATGACAAGCTGAAAAGATTCAGAATTTCTAGATAAAGACTGAGAGAAAAATGATTGACATTATTGGTGTTATAAAGGTTCAGGACAAAGTGAACACAAATATGTGAATAAAATTTGGGGAATTATTAATATTTGACATGATTTCTAATTCCCAAGTAGTGAATATGCTATGAGTGGAAACATCGGGGTGATGTTTCTGGCTTTGCCCATATACAGTCCCATCAGAGGAAATTCTAGGCTCCCTACTAACCCTCTTGAACAAGATGACACCAAGCAGGAAGAAACCTTTTTAAAAATAAAGAGTGCCTAGGTCATAAAATATTAATGTTGATCTCAATGCATAATGCTGTTCAAATGGGCCAGAGTTTTGCAGTTTTCAAAGTATCATACAGCTAAGGCAGAGCTTTATTGATTTTTATATGATTTTTATGTGATTTTTATCAGCCTCTGTATATTGGAACCTTAGAACGTTGGACTATCAAGTTCCTACAAGTGTTGGGATTTGGCTGTTTGAGTGGTTGCAGGGGCAGAGGCATCCAAGGTCAAGGTGGGTGCTATGAGAGCATTGTAGGGTCCAGGCTGACTTGATAAAGGCTGGGAAGTATTTGGGGGTCAGGGAAAGTGAGAGAACCAAGGATAGAGAAGTTAGTTTTCCTAGGAATGGATCACCTCATGGAGGCACTGTTGAAAAGATCTGGAAGGAAAGTAGCAGTGGGAGGTTGGATTAGGGATGAGCAAGTCCAGACCAGTTCCAAGATAAGTTTAGAAAAAAAAAGAAAAGGAAAGGAAAAGGAAAAAGATGACCTGGGTCAGAGGTGGAGAACTTACATTTTGATTGCTGGGAGATCATGTGAATTTTGTGTAACTCAAACTCTCAAACAGAATAATAATTTATGTAGTAGGGTAAGTCTCTGGCTTATGTGGTAGAGGCTTTTAGTGCTTACCCTATCCTGTTCACTTCTCTTCTCAGCTCAGGGGAGGTTACTCTTGCCCTTCCATCTTTTGTTTGGATGGAGTCATGTAACTAGTCTGGCCCCTGGGTTGTGGGCAAAAGTGATGTGTGAACCAAAGTATTTATGGTGTTATGTGTTGGTGTTATGACCCACCACTCTTTTTCCTCTGCTATCAGAAGCTGAGATATTCTAGATGACAGAGACTCCAATAGTCCGGGTGCTAGAGCGAGGACAATATGGAGCAGAGAGTCCCCACCCATAGACCTGCTGATGTGAGATACACATCTTCTATGGGCAAGAAATAACATATTGTATTGAGCTGCTGAGATTTTGACACAGTTTATGACCTCAGCATAACTTATTCTGAAAGACACAATTCAGATGTGCATGTATTATACTATTATTTTCTATAATTTATTTCACTTGGCCATCAAGTCTGCATCTCATTAGAGGCTGGCCAGGGAACTTAAAATGTGCCAATTGATGGTAACAGTCTCATTTTATATGCATATTCAAGCTCTCAGAGTTTCTTCCCTGGACAACACAGTATCTCGACATAGAGGGCAGCTAATTTATCCTTGTGGCAGACGGGAGAAGAGGGCTTTATGCTCTTGCTGTTCCCTGGATACCCTCCTGGCTTCAACTGCAGAAGTTGATGGCTAGGACTGCTGCTGATTCAGTTCTATCTAGGTTCTCCTAGGCCTTGCTAGGAGAACAGGTCCTCTCCTAGGTCCTCAGCTCTCAAGTCCCACCTAAGCCTTATCCAGTATCCTTGCCCAGGATGTCCACTCCATGGCCCATGTCCACCCCATGGAGTTACTTTTTCAGCCTGGTAATCTTTACTCTCAGCTACAATTTTTGTGCCCCTCATTGGCCTGTGGGCATGTCTGAATCCTGTTTTTATTACCTTCTCTCTATCTTGCATTTCTCTCCTTTCATCGTCCACTCCTGCTGCCTGAGCTAAGGAGCAGAGGGGTGGGAGCACTGGCCCCTTATGAGACCAAGCAAACCCTTCCTCCTACATTCTTTCCTTCTCAATCTTTTTTCCCCTCCAGATAGGGTATGACCTGCCCTCTCTGTTGGGGATACCCCCTAAGGCATTCCCTTCTTCCTGTTCATCTGCAGACATCTTTGTTCTAGGTGGCTCTGCCTCCTTTCCCAAGGCATTAAGCCTCATGGCTTAGTTTTAATAGTGAATATGATTAATGAGGACAATTTTTTTAAAACTTGAGGTTAACTTTTTAAGATAATTACATTAGCATTTATAAAGTACTTTCTCCATGGAAATTCTGCCTACTAGCCTGACATTATTGGCATTTGCTGCCCACTTGGCAGTGAATCTTGTGGCTTCCAGTGTGTGGTCAGCCTGTTGAGGAATGTGGACTCACCTGGGGTAGACGCTCATGGTTCAAGTTGGTGAGTCAACTAGGAGAGCTTTTGGATCACTATATATAAAATATTTGTCTGCAGTGAAATAAGCCAAGAGTTTAGCCTCAAATTCCCATGGGAATCCTATGGGAAATATAATCCTTTCTCTTAGGTCTGCCAGTTGCCTTGTTTTCCTGAACACCATAGCCCAGTTTCCTCTAGGGGCTCATTCACAGAGAGTCATGGCTTATGCCAAGACTAGCAAGGATCAAATGAATAAATGCAAAGATGTACAATTTTTTAAACTTTCTTTTGGTCACATCTTTGTTCTTTATATTGAGGCTTTGAGTGGATTTTGTCTTAAGACAAATTCTCCTTTTTGTATAGGGTACATTGTCTAATTTTGTACCTCTCTTATGGGGTATGCACATAAATATGAGGTCCATGGATCATTTTAAGCCAAACCCATGGGAGTCTTGCTGCTTTTAAGCCTTGAGGATGGTTTGACCTGGAGACTATTAGTTGCTTTTCATGCAAAATAATAATTACTCGAGCTTTTAAATTCTGTTTTTAGTTTGCTGCTGAATATTTTTTAGCCATGTGTGATCTTGTATTTGTTGAACCCAAGATACTCTTTCAAGTCCCCACCAAACAATCAAATTATATTTCAGAAATATGCCATCTGTCTTTGTCACTCTCAGATGCTGAAAGCTTGTGCTAGATGAGAGCTGCTACATTTTTCTCTGGTGGCAGGGATGATACAGAGAAAACTATTCTTCCCTCTTTAGTTAACACAGTGATGATGGGTGCATGTTTGCGAGCAGAGGTATGGCATTTTTGACATAAGATAAATTCCTAACAGCTGTCTTGAAATGAATCTCTTGATTCATTTCAACCTTATTTGTTTATATTGAACAACTTTGTCTATTTCTCAGGTTTACTTCTTAACCAAGCTACTTTTATGACTACTAGTTCTTGCAGAACTGAATCTGCTTCATGCAGGTACAATTAGACTGAGACTTGTTATGCACTCATGCCATGGCCATATACCTCTAGTTTCACGCCTTATGGCTTGCTGGTGCCACAGACATGGAATTCTGCTCCATAATTACAGATATTCAAATTTCTAAAACTTTAGGGGAGTAAATCCTTGAGTGGGAGAAAGGAGGAGACAGATAAATCCTTCCCTCTTTTGTCCCCAGGATGGACGCTTCTGAGATGCAGGTCACCAGACTCTGGCACATCCTGGTAGACCAAGCACTGGCTGCTCATAGTAGTGGCCAACTCAGTAATACATCCCTGTATCAGCTTTGCCTTCTTCCTATTTTGCTTTCCCTGTCCTGTACACTTGCTTCCTGGGAAGCATATTCCAAAATAAACTATCTGGAAGGAAGTTTTTGCCTCAGGCTCTGCTTTGGGGGAATCCAGGCTAAGATAGAATTCTTCCTCATAAAATAGGAGCTAGCATTTTCTCTTGTTTCATATCATTTCTTACTAAAGTGTACCAATAGAGAGTCAAACATAAAGAGAAGCTTTTCTCAGTTTGGTGAAGGTGTGCGTGTGTATGTATATATCTGAGCATATAACTGCATTACAAAGCTAGTTCTAGTAATTATTTAGTTATCCACATAAAAAGACAGACAGATTACCTAAAAATAATGTATTTTTGATATTGAGATACACCCACTCCCATATTTACTGACAGTCAAAACTCTTCTCTTCTATTCCTAGCTCCAAGTTTCTTCCAACTTGATACTTCTTTTATAACCTAGAATCCTGTGGTATGATGGTGGGGAAGAGATCTTGGGAAGTCCACAAAGCAAATAAACTAGTTTAAGAGTTAAATTGTAATTATCTGCTGCTTGACATAATTCACATTTTATTCCCATCAAATAATTAAGGATTGATTGAATTGATAATGATGATATAATATGATTTCTTTTTACTTTAAAAACCTGTTCAGTTTGAAACATTGTCAAAATGGCTATCAGGAGAATTTAGGGGGTTAAAAGAGAAGGGGGTTAGAAAAACACCTTCTTAAGTGAAGCTGGCCCCCCTCCAAATTCTAGTGTCTCATGATCATGGAGAGGAATTCTGATGACCATTTCCATAATCAATGTCTTGAGGAGGAATTTATTTTTTAGCCCGGGAAGATAGGATCCTATCAGAATCTCAAAGGTATGAGAATGTTACAAGAGAGCTTTGGAAAAGGGGTGTCCCTAAAATTTGGCCACCCATCAGGGATGCAGAAATTGGGTTTCAACTCATTTGATAGCATGCTTCAAATTATTTTTATCCTATTATTGCTCCTTTCTTTGTAACCAGTAGATACCATGTGGATTCTGGCTTCTTTATCCTTTTGCAAGCACAGGCAAAAATTAGAGAAAACTCGGAATTACCCCTTTTCTTGTGGTTGCGTTATATGAGTAATTATCCATCATGAAATCCCTTCAACCTTCTGTTCAGTTTTGATCACTTTATTTCCTTTGGTGAATCATAAGAACCATGATTGCACATATGTTCTTTTTTAAATCTTTAATTAATACTCCAGTTGGATAAAGAATTTGAGAAATTGATTACCTTAATTTGAACTATTTTGGTTGCAAATGATAGAAAGCCAAGTAACAGTGGTTGGAGCAGAGATGCTGTGGTGTCTCAAAGATCTCAAGAGCAGAAGTGGGGCTGGGCTGCCAATGTTCAGCAGACCTCTGACTTCACCTTTTGCCTTTCTGTGTCTTTATCTTTATTTTGTACTTCATTTCTTTCTTTCTCACTCTCTCAACTGGCATACTCTGCTCACATGGGAAGGAAACATGGCTGTTAACAGAACCTATCTGAGTTTTTCATTTATAATTTCAGTCACCTGGGAAGAGATTGACCTTCCTTGTTTTCAATGGCCAAATCCCTGGTGAAGGACCCTAAGTGGTCAGCTTGGATACTATGCTTACCCTAGAACCAATCTGCTAGCCAGGACAGGTCATGGGAGGTGATTGGCCTACATATCTTCTCCTGGACCAATTAACTGAAGCCAGGGACACTTTGTGCAAGATGATTAGTCTAGAGTTTACCATCTTGATAGAGTGGGGCAGAGGATGGGAAGGGGTGATTTCCAGAAGAAAGTAGTGGAGGAGTACAGGTGGCTGTATGTAGTTTAGCAAAAATAGTTCATTACATTGATCTGAAGGAATTAGAATCTTATAGTCCATAAGGTAAATTTTACATAAAATATCACATGCCTCTGGTGCTGTGAGTTCCTTTAGAAAAAGTGTTTTTTTTTCTTTCGATTTACTAATTTATTTTTTATTTCCATAGGTTTTTGGGGAACAGGTGGTGTTTGGTTACGTGAATAAGTTCTTCAGTGGTGATTTCTGAGATTTTGGTGCACCCATCACCCGAGGAATTGCCTGCTGCTTGAGATACACTGTACCCAGTCTGTAGGCTTTTATCCCTCACCCCCTCTTACCCTTTTCCCCAAGCCCGCAAAGTCCATTATATCATTCTTATGCCTTTGCATCCTCATAGCTTAGCTCCAACTTATAAGTGAGAAGATACGATGTTTGGTTTTCCATTCCTGAGTTACTTCACTTAGAATAATGGTCTCCAACTCCATCCAGGTTGCTGTGAATGCCATTATTTCATTCCTTTTTATGGCTGAATAGTACTCCATGGTATGTGTGTGTGTGTGTGTGTGTGTGTGTGTGTATGTGTGTATATATATGTGTGTGTGTGTGTATATGTGTGTGTGTGTGTGTGTGTGTGTATATCTCACAATTCCTTTATCCACTCATTGATTGATGGGAATTTGGGCTGGTTCCATATTTTTGCAGTTGCAAATTGTGTTGCTATAAACGTGTGTGTGCAAGTATCTTTTTCGTACAATGACTTCTTTTCCTTTGAGTAGATACCCAGCAGTGGGATTGCTGCATCAAATGGTAGTTCTACTTTTAGTTCATTAAGGAATCTCCACACTGTTTTCCACAGCGGTTGTACTAGTTTACATTCCCAGCAGTGTGAAAGTGTTCCCCTTTCACTGCATTGCTGCCAACATCTATTTTTTTTTTTTTTTTTACCTTTCGATTATGGCCATTCTTAAAGGAGTGAGGTGGTATCGCATTGTGGTTTTGATTTGCATTTCCCTGATCATTAGTGATGTTGAGCATTTTTCCATATGCTTGTTGGCCATTTGTATATCTTCTTTTGAGAATTGTCTATTCGTGTCCTTAGCCCATTTTTTGATGGGATTTTTTTTTTCTTGGTAATTTGTTTGGGTTCCCTGTAGAGTCTGGATATTAGTCCTTTGTCGGATATATAGATTGTGAAGATTTTCTCTCACTCTGTGGGTTGTCTGTTTACTCTGCTGATTGTTTCTTTTGCTTTTTAGAGACATTTTAGTTTAAGTCCCATCTATTTATCATTGTTTTTGTTGCATTTACTTTGGGGTTCTTGGTCATGAAGTTTTTGCCTAAGCCAATGTCTAGAAGGGTTTTTTTGATGTTCTAGAATTTTTATGGTTTCAAGTCATTCTTCACAGAACTAGAAAAGACAATCCTAAAATTCATATGGAACCAAAAAAGAGCCCACATAGCCAAAGTGAAAAGAACAAACCTGGAGGCATCATATTAACTGACTTCAAACTATGCTATAAGTCCATAGTCACCGAAACAGCATGGTGACTATAGTATAAAAATAGGCACATAAACCAATGGAACAGAATAGAGGACCCAGAAATAAAGCCAAATACTTACAGCTAACTGATCTTTGATAAAGCAAACAAAAACATAAAGTGAGGAAAGGACACCCTATTCAACAAATGGTGCTAGGATAGTTGGCAAGCCACATGAAGAAGAATGAATCTGGATCGTTTTCTCTCACCTTATACAAAAGTCAACTCGAGATGGATTAAGGACTTAAATCTAATAGTGGTGTTTTAAAATATTAATATCTAGTTCCTGATTATGTCATGGATAAAGGTGATATAACAATTCAGTAAAAACATCCAGTGGTATTAGAAGTATGTGAATGTTGCAATGTTGATAGCAATGAAAATGAAACATCAAATCATTGTAATTTGGTTTCATTTGCTCAGCTACTAAAATGCCTTTTCAATTAAATGTGTATTTATTTTTATTTGCTATTAATTATGCAAATAATAAGTGATTAAGCAGCCATACTCTGGAAATATTTTGCTTGGTTTGATATTTTTAACTTTGCCATGTACTGGCTGTACAGCCTTGGAAAAATTACATGTGTCCCAAATTGCTTATCTGTAATTGGGATAATAATTTTGTCTTCTCAGTAAGGTTATTGTGAGATAAAATTAGGTAATACAAGTAAAGTGCTTAGAATAGTGCCCAAAATGTAGTCAGTATTCAATAAATGTTAGCTATTGTTATTATTAGTATACTTGTTGGGCATTATGACTTTCAAGATTATAAATGAACGGTAAAAAATGAACTTTCTTATATACCTTTTAACATTTCACTGAAATGCTCACTTAAAATAGGCTCTTTGTGAAAAGTTTGTAAGTTCCATCACATAAAAATACAAAGTCAAGGTTACTGGTCATGCTTTGAAGACCTAAGCCACAGTCTGCTCTAGGTATTCATTAAAACTTTTCCCAAATGTTCTATTTCACAGATGTTCCAGCACTCTTTCCTTCAGAGCACGTAGTAGGATTTTATTTTCTACACCTTCCATGGTAAGTGTGGCTGTGTGACTTGCTTTGGCCAATGATTCATAATATATCTGGATAGAGTCAAAGTATGTTTTGCCACATTCTCTTTTCCTCTACTATGACAACTGACCACCTCTAAGATCAGCCTTCTCCAGTAGCCTGAATCTCTCACTGAGAATGACAACTCACAATGGCTTTGAGGCATGATCAGCAAAGAAATTTTTTGTGTTTTAAATCACCGAGATTTTGCTATCTTCAATTCCAGTGGATCTAAGGCCCTTCAAATAAGGCCTCTAAAAAGAGGGTATCTTCAGGCATTGAGTGTGGCTAGGCTGGTTCTTTTTTGACTACATACAAGAATGAACATCTGTATAATTAGGTTATCAGTTTCAAAGAACATTACTAAGAGCAAACGTTCGAATGCAGGATAAAAACACCCACATTTTGTGTAACAATGCTGTTATTATTTAAAACTCTGGCATCAATTTAAAATTTATATTAAAGTAATAAATTTCTAACCCATCCTCATAGAAGCAGATCTCATTTTTAAGGCTGCCATCTCCTTTTGCCTTGTAAGGCCCATATACACATCATTCCAACACTTCCTAATGCTGTATTGATAAACTATCTTTCATTGTCCTGTCTAGTTTTAATTATCCATTAAAACCATCTCTTTCTCTTCTCTAATTTATGACACCTAATTTTCTCTATCCAGGAATTTCTATCCAGAAATTCCTTCAGGTTAAGTCATTTTTTAATTTCTTTTACCCATCTTAAAACTTAAGTACAGTTTATTTGTTCCTTGAAAAGAATGTTTTCTGTAATCTCTGGGCAAGGAATGAGTATCCAGTTGGGTTAAGGACCAGTTTCGAACTTGTGGAAATTTGATTTTATTGCAGATAGAGTTTTGCTGTACCATTTCCTCTGCTTCCAGTTGGCCAACAGAATCTTTTTAGTTTTTTTCCTCTGAAATGCTTCTTAAATCCACTCACACTTTTGCATCCCATGGACAGCACCATAGATCAGGTTCTCCTTATCTCTTGCTCATAAATTTCAAGCTACCCTACTGGTTTCCCTGGAACTATTCTCTCATCTACCATCAGAATTACCATTCTGGAAACCAAATTCTAGAAGCTCACTGTCTGCCCAGGGAATTAAATGAACGCTTCAGCATTTATAGTCCCTCTTCCATCTTATATTTTCTCCGCCACCTCGCAGGCTCCCATATCCACAATCCTGTAATGACACACTCTCGCCATTTGCTGCAAATATAGCTCTTCTAGTCCCTGATGCTCTCACCATGAGCTAAAGTATCTTTCTATTCTATCTTGTAATGGTTTGCTGGGGCTGCAATACTAAATACCACAGATGGGAGGCTTAAGCAACAGAAATTTATTTTCCCACAGTCCTGGAAGCTAGAAGTCTAAGATCTAGGTGCCAGCCAAGTTGGCTTCCTCTGCAGCTCCTTTCCTTGGCTCACAAATGACGGCCCTCTCGCTGCCTCTTCACATGGTCGTCACTCTGTGCACGCGCACCCTGGCATGTCGTTTGAGTGTCCTAACCTTCTCTTCTTATAAAGACACCAGTTTGATTGGATTAGGGCCCACCCTATGGGCCTTGTTTTAACTTAATCACCTCTTTATTGGCCCTATCTTCAAATACTGTCATATTTTGAGGTACTGGGGTTAGGGCTTCAACACAGGACTTTGGTGGAAGGAAACAATTCAGCCTATAATATAACCCATTTTCCAACTATTTATCCTTCAATATCTACTTTCCTGGGAAGCTTTCCTTGACTCCTCTAATTACTGACTCCTCGGTGCTCCCATAGCCCTTGGCACTTACCTCTGTTGTCACACTAACTGTACAGTATTGTAATAACTGATGTCACAGATTGGTAAATTTTTTCTTAAAGGGCCAGGTGGTAGATATTTTAGGCTTTACAAGCCAAACAGTCACTGTCATCACATTGCAGCAAAAGGAGTGCAGAGAGTTCTATATGTTCTCGGGTGACCGTATATGGGGGCATCACAAGCCCACAGTAGAGGACTTGTTCTTGGAATTTTACCCTAAGGATGGTAAACTGCATGAAAACATCTTTTGCTATGTATTCATTTACTTCTCATGAAAATCTAGTGCAGCTTAGGGAGTGACAGGACAAATACATTTTGCTACCAGATGCCATTTGGCCACCCATGCCATGGTTTAAGGAGCTGGGTGTTAATAGCAACTCAGATAGCTGTGGGATCCAGAGAAGGTCATTTAATCTCTTGGGAAAATTTTCTTTTTTCCTTTTTTTTTTTTTTTTTTTTTTTGAGGCAGGGTCTTGCTGTATTGCCCATGCTGGAGTGCAGTGGTGCTATCATGGCTCACTGAAGCCTTGACTTCTTGGGCTCAAGGGATTCTTCCCACTGCAGCCTCCCAAGTAGCTGGGACTACAGGTGTGCACCACCACACATGGCTAATTTTTGTATTTTTCTATAGAGACCAGGTTTCACCCTGTTGCTCAGGCTGGCCTTAAACTCCTGGGCTCAGGGGATCCTCCCACCTAGGCCTTCCAAAGTGTCGGGATTGCAGGTGTGAGCCACCATACCCAGCTTGCCTGGGACAAATTTCTAATTAAAAAAATAAATAGTTGGACTGAAAGCATTTTCAATGAAAGACCAATTGGCATTGAAGCAGGACAATTCTTTCACATGTAAGACTATCCTGCACATTGCAGGAAATTTTAAGTCTCTAGCTTCTGACCGGTAGCACCTCCTGGCCTTTATGGCAACCCAAAACATCCCCAAATATTTCCAAACAATCTGAGTTTTGAACACCTTGGATAATCTCAAAATCTCTTCAAATTCTGGAATTTTATGGCTTATATATATATTTTGACAGTTAAATATATGGCAAATGCCTCTTTGTCTGAAATCTATGCTAATTAGAAAGCTCAGATAACCAGTTTGTTTTGTACGTATTGTGGGGGTAGATATTGTATATTCTGACTCTTTGTATTTTGAGAAAGCAAGTAAGTCAATAATTTGTGTTAATTCTGAAATGTTGCATATAAGGCACATCATTGGGATTTAACCCAATCTTTAATCCTTTTGCAACTTACAAAATGGTAGCCATTGGCCACATATGACTATTTAAATTTAAATTCAGATTACCTAAAATTAAGTAAAATTAAGAATTCAGTATCCCAGTCATACCTGTCACATTTTACTATACATGTGGCTCATTGCTATCATATTGAAGAGTATAGATATAGGGTACTTCTTCCCACACAGAAAGCTCTAATAATGTGGTTTCTACTGTCCTAGTTTAACCAGTTATAACTGACTCAAGCTATGTCATGCAACATTTTATTTTACTCAGTTCATTTTTAATACTGAAAATCTCATTATATTCTAATTAGCTGCAATCCAGACATGAAAACTTTGCAAGAAGGCTGAACATTTACTATAATTCATAAAATATACATTTGGCAATTAAGATATTTTAAATTTTTATAGGATGATCAGAATCTAGAAGAACTGACAGCCCAGATTTTTATATATGGAGGCCTAATAAGACATGATTATCTATTTTGAAGAGCCTTGCAACCACAGGCATTTCCACAGTCAGCCCTTCTCATACAAGTTTGGAGCCATTAGAGACAGAAAAAGTCACTCTGATTTGGCACAAGTCTTTTGACTGTGTGAGTTCACCTGCTGAAGGAGGCCTGCTTGCTGCCTCATGTTAGAATTAAACACTCTGGGGACTGTTGTGGGGTGGGGGGAGGGGGGAGGGATAGCATTGGGAGATATACCTAATGCTAGATGATGAGTTAGTGGGTGCAGCACACCAGCATGGCACATGTATACGTATGTAACTAACCTGCACAATGTGCACATGTACCCTAAAACTTAAAGTATAATAATAATAAAAAAAAAAAGAGTTTGTCTGGAGGGGGCCTGTTTCACTTTTTTGCCTCGCTGGAACCTCACATGTCTCCATCCTGTCCCAGAATGCAGGAATAGAGCTTGAAGTCTCAGAATGAATGAGGCAAGTGTAAGATCACAGGTAGGTTGATGAGTCCCTCATAACCACATGTGCTATGTTTTAATTAGTGGAGCTTTTCTTATCTCCATGGCTGTATTTTAATTGCCTGTGAGGCAGCCTGGCTTCCTAGATGAAGGCTCACACAGCCCCTTGGAGACCCAACAATGATTTATTGGTGCTTATCCAAAAGTTCCAGATGGCTTCCTGTTATGGCAGCTTTAACTCAACTCACAGTTACAGGTAAGAGACCTATAGGTGACAGCCAAGCTGATTGTCAGGCCCTTTTACCAATCTCTAACTGTGAGAATCCATTCCTCTTTGGAGAACCCTTCAAATGGGTAAATAACCTCTTGTATTGTGCAGTCCTAATAACTAGCACTGATGACATATTTACCTGGCAGTAGGCACTGGGCTAAGATTTTTACATATATATTTCACTTATTCCCCCCAACTAGATAAGGAGTGTTTTATTACTAGCTTTGATCTCAGAGACATTACATAACCTACTGAAAGCCATAAAGTAAGGAAGATATAGGGCTGAGATTTGAACCCAGGCAATCTCACTCCATTGTGTGTGTGTGTGTGTGTCACATATGACTCCATTAAATGTTTGACATACTTTTCTATTTCATCTTCTTTACAGTCCTATGCAGTAGAAAAAGGCCCAACATAAAGCCAAAGAAAGAGTCAAGGACCCCAACATAGACAAGTTAAATTTCAAAACCCCTCAACAAACTGACTTTCTCGTCCTCAGACAAAATCATGCCTACAACATGACGTGACAAATATGAGAGGAGAGGACAGACCTGGAGAGGAAAAGACTACCTGCCTATGTGACAGACCCCTTCCAATTAGGCTATACTTTCCATCAAGAATTACTCTGGTAACCTCAAAAAAGAGGCAGTTATTCTGTTTTTTTTTTTTTCTTTCTGAGACATAGTCTTGCTCTGTCGCTCAGGCTGGAGTACAGTGGTGCGCTCTTGGCTCATTGCAACCTCTGCCTCCCAGGTTCTAGCAATTCTCCTGCCTCAGCCTCCTGAGTAGCTGGGATTACAGGTACGTGCCACCATGCTCAGCTAATTTTTTTTATTTTTAGTAGAGATGGGGTTTCACCATGTTGTCCAGGCTGTTCTTGAACTCCTGACCTCAAGTGATTCTCCCACCTTGGCCTCCCAAAGTGCTAGGATTACAGGCATGAGCCACCATGCCTGGCCCAAGGGGCAGTCATTCTAAAGCTACATTTGGGGGCAAAGAAAAATGAAGGATCTCACGGAAATCTACCCAGTGGGTTTGGGCCTCCTGGACCCAGGAGGTGGAGAGGGGTTTGGGATCTGGGAAAGTTCAAGGCGTTTCAGGAATCCACTCTTTGGGTTCCTCCATTATCAGGATCAGCTTCTCAGTACATCTGCTTCTCTCTGAGATGCCAACATCTGCCTCATGCCACCCTCTGCCTTATTCCCCTATTTCCAATGCCACTGATGAAAGAAAAGATTGGATTGGCTCTGCAATATCCATCATCTCCATTTGGGCAGAACCCCTCCTGCCCAAACCAAAGGCAGATGATTGGCTGCCTTTGTGTCCGGCGCCCACCCAAGGCCCAATCACCTGTAGCTCATGGGGCAGGGCAGGATAAGGATGGGTGGGACATAAGAAATTGAAAATCTTTGCCCCCTAGATTAAACCTCCTGCAGAGCTGTTTCCCACCGAATGGGCTGGGGATTTATGGGCATTGAAACTCATGTATCATTTACAGAGAAAAAGTACTGCAATTTTACATAAATAAGATTAAAATTCACTCCTGTCTAGTGGCTGTTTACATTTTGGGAGGTGATTTCTCAATTTTCTCCTGGTTACATAGCTCTTTCCATAGCAAGTCAACCCAAAGTACTCCCCATACCCTTGCAAATCAGATTTAGATACAATTCCTATGTATTCTGTATGTTAAAAATGTTTTCACTAGGAAATTTCTCTGACTCAAAGTCACCCTAAAACAGGATGCCCAGCTTCTGAAGGTCTCATCTGGGATTTTGATTGAGGGTTTCAGGCCTTAAATTTTAATTTTTTAGTATGTTCTTTGACATATAACCATTCTCACATAAATTCTGAGAGTTAATGTTTTCTGCTGGTGTATACCCTACCTAGTGGTTCTCAGCTCTAGCTACACAGCAGAATCATCCAGGGAACTTTTAAAAAATACTTCAGCCAGCAACGTACCCGAAAATTCTGACTTAATTGTTCTGGGAAGGCCTGAGCACGTTTAAAAAGCTCCCTGGGCGATATTAATGCAAAGCCAGCATTCATAACCACAGTTCTCAAAGTGTGGTCCTCAACCAGCAGCATTGGGATCATCTGGAAACTTGTTAGAAATGTAAATTTTGGAGCCTCATCTGAGACCTGCTGATTTAAAAACTGTGGTGGTGGGCCCAGCTATTTGTGCTTTAACGAGCCCACAGGGAGATTCTGATGCATGCTGAAGTTTCAGAATCACTGGTCTACAATGAGCTGTTTAATTTATTTTACCTCTTCCGAGAACCAAATCTCAAACTTTTGAACTAAACCTCTTGGAGGTGGCCTCTTGAGTCACATTTGTCATGCAGCTTAACTGACTTCCTTAGAGCTGCATTGGGCTGTCTTATTGCTTAGCAGAAGGTTAATTGTTTTGATAATTTTGGCAATCTTCAGCTCGTTTATTTATGATTATTAATTACCAAAATAAAACAGCTAGTTATTCCCCCTCAGTGGGCTCCCTTTATTATTTCTTTTTTAACATGATTGTTTTACTAATTGTTTCAGACAATCATTTTTCTCCCTGCACCTGTTCCATGACATGATAAATTGGCCAGGTATTAAGTGGCTGCTGGTTCTATTTTCAGCTGCCATGATAAAATTTTCACGTTTTGGGGGAGTAAAGGCTCAACTATTCACCAATATTTTTGAAGCTAAATATTTTTACAAACATGTAAAGTATAATGTGTTTGCCATAAAAGTAAACACATATTTTAATCTATCTCAGTAGAAACCTAGTACAGGGTATCATAGAGGATCTAAAATCCAGGATGCAATGCAGTCATTGTCACTGTATTGTAATTGTCTGTTTATGAGTCTGTCCCCTGCTAAATGCTGGGCCTCTGAACTGGTGGTTTATATCTTATTCTTTTCTGGCTGATAGAGTGGCTGGTTTATAGTAAACACTGAATACATGTATGGGGGAATTAATAAACCAAAAAAGGAATGATGACATCATGCAACACCGGCTGGTCGAATCTAGGGCATCATATTTATTTTTTCTGGGGGCCATTCTATAAAACACTTAATGGTGACATAATTCAAAGGTAAAAATCAGGCTGGGGCATTAGAATTCTTTGGGTAAGGTAAGAGAATCTGGGGGAGGAAAGGGGAATGCTGCATGGGTTTGGAGCTGCTCCTTTGTTGGAATGCAGTGGATTTTCCCTCTCCCCTGTGGAAGAGTGGGAAGGCTTGATGCTCTCCTGCCAGTGAGTGGGTTAAGAGCATGGCTTGGGGTGTCAGTGCATGCACAGTTATTATAGTGATTGAGAAGGCATTAACATGCTTTGGTGGGAAGGCAAAGTTCTTCTATCTCTGGGGTCTAAGATATCTGTGGTGGGTGGTGTGGGGGAGAGCTGGGGGAATGGTAGTCCATTTGAGCATATTTCCCCAAAGAGGCAAATTGACAATAGGTTATTTAAAGTTGTATGTTTAACACCATAATGAGAAATCCCTGGAGCAAGTAAATTATAGAGAAAGTTCTAAAAGGTGGCACCTTGTGTCAGCCACCCCCACCAAGTCAGCCTCTGGCTTCACTGTGACTGGGGTGGGGTGTGGAAAGAGAAGTGGTTGTGGAGCTAGGCAGAGGATTAGAATGGAAGCTGTCTGAAAACAGCAGGTCACCTCTGGAGAAAGCCTTATGCTGGGGACCTTATACTGGGGAAGGGGGATTGGAGCATCTGATTCTGGGATGGATAAGATGGCCCTTCTGGTAGCTCTCAAACCTCATAGGACATAGGAGAGTCTATGAGGCAGTGTAAATTAATAAGGAACATTAAGCTTGTGAAGGTCTCAGAACAAAACTTTCTTCCTCTGTGACCCAGGCATGGACACCATTTGGCAAGATGGTATGTGAAAGGCAAAGGACTTTGAGATGAGGGAAGCACAAAAAGAACTATTTCTGCCCATTTTTAGCCCAGGAAAACAATAACCTGTTTCTTTGATGAATGATTTGTATTTGCTGGTTTCCAGATTAGTCAATTTTTTCATGTCTTGCTCTTCCTTCATACCTCCTCCGCCTCTACCAGCCCTTAGACCATATACTTCTATTCCATCTCCCCTCACCATTCAATTTGTCTCCCATTTCCAGTCCACTTGTACCAGATTAGCTATCAATAATCTATTAATATATGAAAATATAGCTGTATTTTGCATCCACACTGGGACTGTTAGCACACACATGCATTTTCTTAACAGCCAAAACATGAAGAGTTTCTGGTTATTATGAACATACACAGAACAATTGGCCATTAGAAGCCTCCTTCCAGTTCTTCCTGTGAACCAGGACCTTTGCTATTCCTCAGGACCTTTGTTATTCCCCTATCTGGAATATTATTCCCCTCCCTTTTCACTGAGCTAAAACCAACTCATTCTTCAGTTTTGTGAAAGGAAAATAAATCTTGGGATCCCAAAATCACTAAACTAAAGGGAAAAGTCAAGCTGGGCACTGGGTCACTCAAACCTCCCTCCCCTTTTGGTTCCTAAATAAGATGGCTACAAGATGAAAAGCTACACTCTTCCCCCATATTTTGCCCAAAAGGAAATTCCTAATGAGCTCCAAAGATCTTTACCCTAAGGTTTTTCTGTTTAAATTTCACCATGGTAATGTAAATTGATAGCTTATCTTTTTTTTTTTTTTTTTTTTTTTTGAGACGGAGTCTCGCTCTGTTGCACAGGCTGGAGTGCAGTGGCGCGATCTCGGCTCACTGCAAGCTCCGCCTCCCGGGTTCACACCATTCTCCTGCCTCAGCCTCCCGAGTAGCTGGGACTAAAGGCGCCCGCTACCACGCCCGGCTAATTTTTTTTGTATTTTTAGTAGAGACGAGGTTTCACCGTGTTAGCCAGGATGGTCTCGATCTCCTGACCTCGTGATCCGCCCGCCTCGGCCTCCCAAAGTGCTGGGATTACAGGCGTGAGCCACCGTGCCCGACCTTGATAGCTTATCTTTACAGGTGCAGTTGTCCCCTGCCCACCAGACATAAAAGCATATCTGATTGTTCCCTTGTCCCATTTTGTCTATGTTATCTTATGTATAAATGCAGATTCCCTGCATTTTTCCTCTGTCCCATTTGTCTATGTCATCTTATTGTAAAATAATGCAGATTCACTGAGCCAGACAAAGGCATGAATAACTATTTTTCCTAACGCCCCTCTTATATGAAAATTGTGTACTTCTCAATATCCCGCCCTTTCCCCTTTAAATTTGGAGCCCTCAAAATCATCTTAGGAGTAAGGCATAGGTGAACATCCTTAACTTTGGCAAGTAAAGCTCCTAAAGTGATTGATACTTGTCTCATCATTTTTCTTGATTGACAGTTTTAAGTTCAAATGTAGTAACTGCAATACTAGAGCAAAATGACAACGCTAATATTTCAGTATTTGTTTCAAGTTTTAACACCACTATTTTATTTTTCAAAAAGTGCTAGCACGGCATAATGGTTAAGAGCATGAGCTCTGGAACCAGACTGCCTCACTTTGATTCTCAGCTCTATCATTTACTACTATGTGACCTTGGGCAAGTTGCTTAACCTCTCTGAGCTTCAACCTCCCCATCTGTAAGTGGAGATAATACTGATACCCACCTCATAGGGGTGCTGTGAGCATCAAACAAGTAATATGTGTTGTAACAACTCATTTGATTAAAAATAGAAACTTAATGTTTAATACATTTCAAATGCAAACATATTTAAACCTATTACTAAATGAAATGAAAATATTAATTTATAAAAAGTCATTAAACATACATTATTCTGCTATAAATTATTTGAAGATACAATTAATAGAAATAAAATATTATTAAAAATTGATGCTGAATAAAAATGAGTAAAACTTGATTAGTAATAAAAAACTGAATGTATAATAATTTTTGATCTTTTCAAAAAGCTGTGGTATTAACAAACCAAAAATGACAATGGTCATTACCAAAGCTCCAGAGTACTTTCTGCAAAAATATCCAGCTGTTGGAAGCTCTGGTTTGTGAATGGTGAGAAGACATTTAAAACTAATACCATATCCTTCTTTCTGATTCTTCTATTTTCAAATAATTCCACCTCTTCATTATTAACTTTGAGAAGATATTTTGAACATTCCCCAGGAAGGAACAACAGAATTTCTATCCCTGGCAGAATTAAAAAAAAATTATACTGAGCTAGAGTTTTGTTCAGAGAAAGGATTTCTGGTTTGTTTTGTGATCCTTACTTTTCTCATGTATAGGTGAAGATTCTAATGCAGAGTTATCTGTAAATGTGGAATCTGCTGCCTTTTCATTCCAATTTTTCAGAATGTGTTTGTCCCCTGTCATTTCCTCTTTTTCTTGAGCAGACTGTGGCCCTTGGGTCAAATCCAGCCTGCTGCCTGTTTCTTTAAATAAAGTTTTATTGAAACAATCACACTCACTCATTTATGTATTGTCTATGGCTGCCTTTGCAATGCGATGGCACAGCTGAGTAGTTGCAACAAAGATTATGTGGCCCACAAGCCTAAAATATTTACTCTTTAATCCTTTACAGAAAAAGTTTGCTAATTATTAGCTCTCTATACCTTTCCTTCAAAATCCTAATACAATTTGTAATTATCTGTCATGTGATTATTTTATTAATGTTAATCTCTCACACTATTCTTTAAGCTCCATGAGGGTAAAACCATGTCTATTATTTTCACTATTATATTCCCAGAACCTAAAATAATGTTGGCATATAGGTATTCAATGTATGTTTGTTAATTAAATAATTAGATTATCTAAAATGGTAACTTTGGAGCAAATAGTACCTCTGGGGTAAATCTGCATTTCAGTTTAAACTTGTGAGGTATAATGGTAAAGTCCAGGTGGCATAATACACAAAGTGCTCAGCATAATGCTTACAAACTAGAATGGGCTGAATAAATGACACCTTTTATTAATTGAGATCCTCCAAATCTCCTGTTTAAACCATTGTGGTGGCTTTGCCATCAGGGAACAGCCTTATAAATGCATGAAAATATTAGGAAGAACATTCACTCTAGAGAACACATTTAGCAAGCACCTACTTTGTGCCTGGTGAATCCACTTTTCTTATTTCATGGCTTCTGAGTCTTACCAGTCTGTCTAATGTCTATAAGACCTTGCTAATCATGTATCTTCCAGAAAAGAAGATCAGTGGAGAAGTCAGCAGCCTTGCCAAGGCATGTGTCAGTTCTTCATGTATTTGCTTGTTAACCAGGACCGTGCATTGGAATTGCCTGGAGAACTATTTACAAACACTGGGGTCTGGACTTCATCCTCAAAGATTCTGGTCTGATTGGTCTAGGGTAGTATTTTTAAGCTTCTCGGGTTATTCTAACATGCAGCCAGGTGTGAGATTGTCAGTTTTATCAGTTAGGAGGTACGTGGCGGGGCCCAGTGGCTCACATGTGTAATCCTATCACTTTGGGAGGCCAAGACAGGGCACAGTGGTTTGCATCTATAATCTCAGCACTTTGGAAGGCTGAGACAGGGGGTCACTAGAGATCGGGAGTTCAAGACCAGCCTGACCAACAGAGCAAGACCCCCATCTCTACCAAAATAATAATAATAATAATAATAATAATAATAATAATAATAATTATTATTATTATTTAGCCATGCATGGTGGCACACTCCTGTAGTCTCACGACTTGGGAGGCTGAGGCAGGAGGATCGTTTGAGTCCAGGAGTTAAATACCACAGTGAGCTGTGATTGCACCACTGTACTCCAGCCTGGGCAACAGAGTGAGATTCTGTCTTTAAAAAAACAAAAACAAAGAAACAAAAAGAGGTACTCCATGAATATGTGATCTGAGAGACTGAAGATACAGACAATGGCTAGACCACACAGATATGACAATACAACTTTGACCCACAACCTCTGTAGCAACTGGCCTAGAAGGAAACTTTCCTATTTTTGTCCCCACTTTTCCAACTTAGGACCAGCAGAGAAAGTCAAGTATGTTCCCCAAGCAAATCATAGAAGATGTCCCACTTCTAGTTAGCCCACCTCTAGTATCTCCATGCTAACAACCTCCAATCAGGACACACGTGAAGCCTTCCATTCTTTTCACAATAAAGCCTTTCTATTCCCCTGCCTGCCTTTGAAACTCTGCCCAAAACAAGTGACAGTGGCTGACTCCCTTGTTATACCAAACTGAATAAATAGCCTCTTTCTTTTCATTTGGGTGGTTTTAGTCTATTTCCACAGTGCCACTGTTCTTGTTACTGTACAATTGCACATATAAATAACATACTTCTTCAGCATCTCTTAAAACAAGCAGAATCAAATAACAGAGACCTACTGGGATTAGCCTAGGTAAAAGCCCGATCAAATATAAGGATTCGAGGGTGTCTCAGACAACCCAAGAGCAGGGTACAGTTGAGTCTCAGGAATCCAGAAAAGGAAGGTTGTAGGGAACCAGAACATTTTCTCTCTTTGTCTCATGTCTCCATTTTTCTCCATGCATCTGCTCCATTTTTTCTTGGTATAGACCACCTGTCTCTATTTTTCAGCACACATGACACAATAGTCACAGCCAGCAGCTCCCAGGTTTGCATACATTTCCTCAATTAAAGACAGGAGAGCTAGACCAACTGGAATCTCCTACTTGCAATTCCAAATCCCTAAGGAAGGATCTGCCTGGCCCATGATGGAGGGGTTCCTTTTCCTGATACCCCTCTACTATGTGGATTGCTAGGAGGAGGTCAGTTCCCACAGGAAACAGGAAAGGTGGCTGAGGAGCACACATTAGTAATAAAACTTTAATAATAAAAAAGCCATGTAATTTAAATTCTAAACTTGTACCAAACCTAGTGATTTTTGTCTCTTCTGGTGAAGCTTACCTTGTATAACTTGTAGCTGCATCTCCACTTTCAGGTATCTTGGGATCATTTTAACATTTTTAAGAAAAATTGTCCTTGAGACCATGATGCCTCATGGGACCCTTAAGTATACCTCTCTACTTTATAAGCTTAGCCCATAGCCATGTGACAGCTGCATCCATGTCCCCACCATCTCCCAGTGTCCTGTAGAAGTACACTTCACCTATTACTGATGAGGGGCACCCATGCCCAAACAACTGCTATAGTCCTTGCTATCCTTTTTTGGGGGACCTTTGATCTTCTTGCCCAGAAGACCTAGAGTTAGGACTGCTATCTTGAGCACCCTAACTTCCTATTGTATTTATCTCCACTCATCCAAAGTGATGTTGTTGTCCCTCACTCCACCAATCCACAGGAACACAGAGACAGCAAGGAGGTACTAGGGATAGAGGAAGAGAGAATTTCTTGAAGTGGAATTACCTCAGAGCCATCCATTTCTAATTAACTCAGACACTAAATTCTGGGCAACACAAGGAGGCAATTAAGCATAAGTGTATGCCATTTGCTTTGTAGGTGAATATAAATTGCATAGGCTAGAGGTTTAAGACATTGTGCTCAAGCCAAAACTAGGGCATACTGTGCTTCTCCCAACAAATCACATACATAAGTACAGAGGAGCCACAGGATTAAGTCTGGAATTTATATTTTCAAAGGAAGCTTTGAGAAAAACACTGCTTCAAACATTCCAGCCACTATCACCATGGAGCTCTGCACCAAGTCTTGATATCAAAGAATTACTGAAGACCTGACACATACGCCATTATGCAAATAACATATTCTTACTGTTTTCAACTGTGAAGTTCAATTAATGTTTTATTATGTGAAGTCAAACAGGCGCCTACTCTTAAACTTCTAGCTTTAAACAAGTAGCAATATTGTCAGTCTGTTTTGATGTCTGCTCATCTCTAAGCAGAGAGAAAAGGAACAAAGATAACTGGGAGTTTTGTGTTATGTAACTGCAGAGTTCACTGTCTCTTTGCCCTTTTCAAGGTCTTGGGTACTATCTGATCTGACATTTCTCAAGCTAGATATTTGAGAATAGCTTCTGAAAGATCATCTTTCTCTTTCATTTTCCCCCCTCCTGGAATATTTTACATGAGTTTGCAATGCACCTCACCCTTCAATGGAAAGGATTCATGAGGCCCTTAGCGCCAGAGGACATTGTGACCTAGCTAGGAGGGATTGTGTTTCCACTCCCCTGCTTACTAATGATACAGGCTGTAGCAAGACACAGATATATATTTATTATACTTTAAGTTCTAGGGTACATGTGCACAATGTGCAGGTTTGTTAAATAGGTATACATGTGCCATGTTGGTGTGCTGGACCCATGAACTCATCATTTACATTAGGTATTTCTCCTAATGCTAGCCCTCCCCCAGTCCCCCATCCCACGACAGGCCCCGGGGTGTGATGTTCCCCACCTTGAAGACACAGATATTTTTGAACCCTGATTTCATCATCAGTCAAATGGGAATAATAATAATAATAATAATAAAAGTATGTTCTGCCCACCTCATAGGGAATCAAATGATAATCAAAAGAGATGCCAACATGGACATTCTAATTTATGGGGCACCTACTGTATGCCATGTATTCTGACAGGGCCTTAGTGTGAAACGATGGAGCAAAGATAGACATGGTCTATTTCCATATGGGCTTACTTGAGTCTACTGGGAAAATTAGATTTCAAGTTTTAAAATCCACACAACAAATGTAAACTTTAACTGTGACAAATGCTCCAAGGCAGAGGTACATGGTGCTATGAGAGACTGTATTAGGGAGATCTGATTTAGGTTTGAGGTCAGAGAAGGCTTCCCCGGTGGTAGTGATGATTGAGCTATAACCTGAAGGGAAAAATAGAAGTTGGCTAGGGGAAGAGAGAGGGGAGCACCTTCCAGGTAGCGGGAATAAGACGTACAAAAGCCCCATAAAGAAGAGACCCATAATGAATACAAGGAATTGAAAGACATGCAAAAGGAACATTGGCACCTTGCCCTGCCACCATATAATTAAGTGTACACGTTGCATACACAGTCGGGGGGAAAATAAAAGCAACTTTGCATCTGAGTGACCATGAAAATCAGAAATAACTGTCTAATCCCCATTCCTCAAATGAATTGAGCCTCTTCTTGAAAGTTAAAAACAATTTTATCCCTCATTTTATCTTTGATATCTTCAGATATATAATGATCCTTGTAGATATGATAATCAAGTGAGAAATTTCTAGGTTTTGAGCAATGAAAATAATTGTCAGACTGATTATAACTCTAAATACCTGCTTTTCATCCTGTTCCATTCTTCTGGAGGTTGAACGGTCTTGCAAGCATTGCAAGGAACATTTCTTACTACTTAAACCTCCCTCTGAGTGCTAGTGTGGCAGGAACTGTCCAAGGTAAAGTTAGAGAGATTTAGTTTGGGCCAGCTCACAGAGTCCTGTGAGCCACTTTCAGAAATCTTATCTTTACG
Organism: Homo sapiens; assembly: GCF_000001405.40. Taxonomy (NCBI): domain Eukaryota; kingdom Metazoa; phylum Chordata; class Mammalia; order Primates; family Hominidae; genus Homo; species Homo sapiens. The sequence continues at coordinate 132,843,635 of NC_000003.12, forward strand.
TTAGAAAGCCACTGGGGGTGGTGGGAACATGATCTTTTGCATTTTGAGACCACCATCCTGCTATGGCGTGAAAGTGAATTACAGAGGAAAAGAGCAAGTGCAGCTCAGCCAGTTAGGAGGCCACTGCAATAACCAAGTTGAAAGAAGATGGAAGCTTATTTTAGGGTGGTGATGGTGATGGTAAAATGGAGAGAAGAAAATGGAACTGAAAGGCATTTGGGTAATAAAATGAACAGGACTTTATTCTGGCCTGAACACTAATTGGATAGTGAAGCTATACCCTAAGCTGGGAAGCACTGGAAGAGGAATGGCTCGGGCCCTTGTAAAGTCCTAGATGCATGTAAAGTGTGATTCTCACTATCCAGGGATTGGGGAATTCCTAGGGACAGAGTGCTGTCATACTCCCTTCCAAACCACATGGTGCAGTCCTAGCATTCCCAAATCTCCGTGTGTAACCCATTAAACCCTCTGGTGAAATGCAAGGAATTCACTCCTTTGTCAAAGCCACTATTGTGTCTCCTTGGAGATCTCATTTAAATACATTTATAGGGAGAGACAAGACATTAAGAATCTGTTAATCACTCTTTATGTTTACATGACACCTTAAAATTCATAAGATGTTTTACCACAGCAATACTCAAAGTGTAGCCCCCAGAAGCAGCTTCAGCATCACCTGGGAGCTTGTAAGAAATGCAGATGCTCAGAATATCCAAGACCGAATGAGTCAGAAACTTGGTGTGTGTCATGTGGGGGTGGGGAGGGGGTGTATCTGAAACCTGTGTTTTGACAAATTCTCCAGGCGATGCTGATACACACTCAAGTTTGAGAAGCATTGCTTACATATAATATCTCTTCAATGTTTAACAATTGTGGTAGGTAGAAATTATTATCATCCCTTTTTCACTAAAATAGAACTGAGCCTCTGAGAAGTTAAGTGATTTGCTTAAACACCCAGTTGGTGATAGCAGAAGTGTAAATCCAGTCCAAGAATCCAGGATCTCCTGGATCTACATTTAGTTCCCATCCAGTCTTTTCAGTTAAAAATGAATGCAGGGATCTGAGGAGACAGGTTTGTATGTTTGATGGGGACTGAGGGTGCAAAGGTGAATTTGGAAGAGATGAAAGGATTTCCTTTCATCCTAATTTGTACCCAGTAATAAGCTGCCAGATTATATTATTCTGCCTGGGGTGGGCCTCAGGAGGGAGCAGTAGTGCACTAGTGCTGGCTGGTAACAGTTTAGGAAGAGCCAATAATGCACATCTCTTCCAAACTGGGTTTAGTGATGTCATGTTGTAGGTTAAAATGGACCAGGGTGGGAGTATTTACATTACAGAAATGGCAAATGCTACAAATTAGGGCTTACCAACCCTGCTCCCTAGAGATGGTTATTAAATATTTACCGGCACACCACTGGGTGGACACCAGAGGATCTCAGAGACAATATCATAAAATAGGAAACGTAGGGATACCGAGGTATGACAGGTTCACTGTGATGAAGGTAAAGTGTTGCCAGTTATAATTATGAACTAGATGTTTCTCTTGTGGATTAAGGTAACTGGCAACAAATAAACCCATCTTAAATCGTATACTTCTAGCTGAGCTAGCAAAGTCAAGATAAGAAACACTGAATACGTATGTTTGAGACAAAATTAAAAAACATTTTAAAAGGGGTTTCTAGTCTCCACTAAATATAAAAAACAAGTGAGCAGGCTCTTCATAATAAAGAGCACGTCTTCACCATTTTTCCTAACATCTCTGGAAATGGCTCTTCAGAACCCTCGAACAAAATGATAACAGATGCCATCAGCAAGACCTACAGACTCTGGAAAGAAAGGAAGTTTTACCAAAATCAAGTTCATGTTATATTTTAGTAAACGTTGAATAAAATTCTATGAATTTTTCTGTACACCCAAGAATGAGAAAGTATAATTATGTGAAACATGGATTCATGCTGGGAGGCTTGTTTAAAATAGAATCTATCTTAACTAAAATTTGAATACATTTTGGTTTAGAAGCTAAGAATGAAGACTTTTGACTTTGGGGGCATTTAACTCCTAATATTATAGAGCTTAGCTACTAAAACCAATCATAGAATCACCTAGAATGTCTCTGGCCTAGTGATTCTCAACTGTGGATACACACTGGAGTCACCTGGGGAGCTTTTAAAAATCCTGATTTCCAGGTGGCCCCCCAAAAGCAGTTAAATCAGAGTCTCTGGGAGTGGGACACAGGCAGCAGTGTTTGTAAAAGCATTCCAGGTGATCCCAAGTACATGATTCCAATTGCAGCTAAGGTCAAGAACCCCAGTCCTGGAACAAATAGAGAACCCCTACCCCTTATTTTACAGACAAAAGGCCTGAAGCCCAAAGAACTTTAATAACTGGCCCAGAGTCACTCAGCTAGTTGCTAGCTAGTTTATCATTGTGAACATTGTCAGAATCAAAATGGAGTCACTAATGTTAAGAAAATCCTGACAGGCCTGGCATGGTGGCTCACACCTGTGGTCCCAGCACTTTGGGACGCCAAGGTGGGAGGATCACTTGAGACCAGGAGTTCAAGACCAGCCTGGTCAATATAGCAAGACCACCATCTCTCCAAAAAATTAATTACCTGGAAGTGGTGGCAAGCATCTGTAGTCTCAGCTACTCAGGGGGCTGAGAGGGGAGGATCACTTGAGCCCAGGAGGTCGAGGCTGCAGTGAGCTATGATCATGTCACTGCACTCCAGCCTAAGAGATAGAATGAAACCCTATTTCAAAAAAAAAAAAGAGGGAAGGGAGGAAGAATACCCTGATAAATAGAGCTGAGGAAAGCTATGAGGAGAGGGTTTTGATGCTTGTATGCCTGATAACAGAAGCTATCACAAAAGACTGCAAAAACCACAGCCTTGCACAAAGTCCATTGCAAACTTTCACAAAAAGTACCTCTTGTATTAGTTGAGGTTCTCCAGAGGGACAGAACTAATGCCATATGTGTGTGTGTGTGTGTGTGTGTGTGTGTGTGTGTATATATATATTAATTTATTAAGCATTAAATCACAAGACCACCAGGTCCCATTATACACAACAGGCTGTCTGCAGGCTGAAGAGCAAGGAGAGCCAGTCTGAGTTCCAAAGCTGCAGAACTTGGAGTCTGATGTTCGAGGGCAGGAAGCATCCGGCACGGGAGAAAGATGTAGGCTGGGAGGCTAGGCTAGTCTCTCTTTTCGCATTTTTCTGCCTGCTTATATTCTAGCCACAATGGCAGCTGATTAGATGGTGCCACCCAAATTAAGAGTGGGTCTACCTTTCCCAGCTCACTGACTCGAATGTTAATCTCCTTTGGCAACAACCTCACCAACACACCCAGGATCAATAGTTTGTATCCTTTAATCCAATCAAGTTGACAGTATTAGCCATCATACCTCTACAAGGACATCTGCCCAGCAACTGCCTGTCTAACCTTGGACTGGAATCACCATTGTTATTGAACTTTGCAGTCAAGGATAATTATTTCAAAACAACAATGTAACCTTACTCAGTTTTTCCTTTAAAAACCTTTGTTTTACCTCCCTGAGTATGCACATAGTTTGATATGACATGCATATTCCCATTGCAATGTTTTATTCCCAAATACTTGCCTTTTCTTTTAGAGAGCCCCTCTCCGTTATTTAGGTTAACATCATCAATCAGTTAGCAATTATCGTTTGCTCAGTACTGTGGTAGGTGCCTTTGAATTTAAAGGGAAGACCAGTGGAGTGGACTGTGGAGCTCTGTTTTCATAATTCCCACAAGCACTTTTGTCCTGGTGAAATCATTTTAAATCAGTAGTGACTTCAGATTCCCACTTCACCACGCAACCTCCTACCCCCAGGTTTTTCCAATTACTCTAATAGCACTCTGTAATTTGTTTTCATAGCATGTGTCACAGTTTGTAATTGTATATTTATGTATAACATTACTATATTAATTAATCCCACTAGTCTATAAACTCCATGAGGACATGGATTGTGTCTGGATTTTACCCACAATTCATTCCTTTAGTCAACAAATATTTACTCGGAGTGCCTACCCTGGGTCAGGCTCTGTTCTAAGAACTAGTATAGTGCCTGGCACAGAGTAGTCACTTAATAAATGTTTCTGTCAGTCACAAAAAGGCAGGAAGAGAAGGGGTATGTGGAAACATGAAGAGGCACCCCTTTATGTTAGAACAGTGGTTTCCAGAGTGGTCTGCAGACAAGCAACATCAGCATCACTTGGGAATGTGTTAGTAATGCAAATTCTCAGGCCCCACTCCAGACTGACTTAATCACGCCCGTGGTGATTCTGATGAATGCTAAGGTTTGAGAACCACTGCAGTCAAGTTGGCGGAACTGGGAGCTGATTATATGCTTCTGATTTTATTTTGGCATCAGTTAAGAAATGCCACCTTTGATCTTCCCACCAGCTGCCTCTTTGCTTGTCCTTCTTCCAAGGCCTTCCACCTGTCCCCAGGAAATCAAAGAGCTTGAAGGAACCACTCAGATTTTGACCCATAAGGATAGCTCTTTCATCAAATTGTGGTCTATATCTTCAAAAAAGATGGGAATGTAAAGTAGACTGGATGTAAGGCTGAAACAGAAGGTTTCATTTGGCACTATTTAACAAAACTCTTGAGAATATCCTTTTTAAATGAGTTGGCTGTGTTAGGAACCAGACATTCACAGCCTCATAAATCAGGAATGGGAGTGTTGGCTGCATATAAAGTTTGGTATCACCTTGTCCTGCTGTACATGCCTTGCCAACTCCAGCCCTTAGCAATTCCCATTTGCTTCAGTTTCTTCCTCATTACGACTGCCAAGATTTCTGAAGAAAGTGTCAAAGCCTTGCTAGTTTGATCCACTCCCAAGTCACTCCATCCAGCTTTGACGAGGTTCTCCTGGCGCTGCTGCTCATCAATCACCCTTTCCTTCTCTCTTCTTCACTCTCGACCAGCCACTTTCCACTCTTTTTACCAGCAACCCCTCTCTGACTTCTCACTCTCAGTAGTGACCTTACCACTCCTCTTAGAATGTCAGAGTCCAACACGATCTCTCAGCTTTCTTCTCTCCACCTCATTTTTCTGTATTTTAACTTTTTCCTTTTTTCCTTATTTTTCATTTCATTTACAAGTGATTTACTAAGAACTCTTTATTTGCCAAGCACCGTCCATAATCCTGCCTTCAGGGTGCATTCAAGGAAAGCTAATAATAAACATACAAATATTTAATAAGACAGGATAATTATAAATTGTGACAAGAGCCACAAAGGAAAGCCAAGTCTAGGCCGGGAATGGGGGATAGGAGAGAGAGAGAGAGAGAGAGAGATAGACTTCCTAGGGCTTTCCTCCTCCCTGTGCACATTCTGATTCCAGCTTGGTTTGCTTCCACTGATTTAATTACCATCACATCTCTCTCTCTTACTCCAAATCCTGTCCTGCTACCTACAAGTAGAATTGACTCTGCCCCATTGTAAAACATGTCTCCATGATTCTAGGATGGGTTGGTTTTCGTTTCCACCGCTTTCTTGAAACTCTACCTTCCATTAGACTTGTCGCTAAAGTCTAAATCCAGTGGCCTAGTACTCTCCATTCTTGTCCTGCATATAGGGATATCCACGTTCCTTCTGATTTAAACCCATTCCTTCCCTGACTTCTGTAAGGTGGAGCCAATCTTGTTCTTGAATCTACCCAAATGTGCTTCTCTCTTTGTTTTGCTCTCTTCTACACTGATATATCCACCTCCTTCAGGAAATCATTTTTTATTTTTTCAGCCGGAAGTGACCAGGCCCTCCTCTGATACCTTACAGCGCTCCTCTTTAACAGGTGATAGCACTTACTGGTCCTTTTGTGGCTCTCTCATTCTCCTTCCTAGGGTTGCAAAATGCCTAAGAGCAAGAACTGTGAATGAAGCATTTTTAAAATTCTACCACCGAGGGTTTTTTTTTCTTAATTTTTTTTAACTTTTTGTATTTCAATAGGTTTTTGTGGAACAAGTGGTGTTTGGTTACATGAATAAGTTCTTTACTGGTGATTTCTGAGCTTTTGGTGCACCCATCACCCAAGCAGTGTACACTGTACCCAGTGTATAGTCTTTTATCCCTCACCACCCCCACTCTTTCCGCCAAGTCCCCAAAACCCAATGTATCATTCTTATTCCTTTGTGTCCTTATAGCTTAGCTCCCACATAAGAGCAGGAATATACGATGTTTGGTTTTCCATTCCTGAATTACTTAACTTAGAATAATAGTCTCCAATTCCACCCAGGTTGCTGTGAATGCCATTATTTCATTCCTTTTTATGGCTGAGTAGTATTTCATGGTATATTAATACCACATTTTCTTTATCCACTCATAAATTGATGGGCATTTGGGCTGATTCCATATTTTTGAAATTGTAAATTGTGCTGCTATAAACATGTGTGTGCAAGTATATTTTTCATATAAAGATTTCTTTTCCTCTGGGTAGATACCTAGTAGTGGGATTGCTGGATCAAATTGTAGATCTACTTTTAGTTTTTAAAGGAATCTCCACACAGTTTTCCATAGTAGTTGTACCAGTTTACATTCCCACCAACAGTGTAAGTGTTCCCATTTCACTGCATCCCCACCAACATCTATTATTGTTTGATTTTTTGACTTATGGCCATTCTTGCAGGAGTAAAGTGGTATCACATTGTGGTTGTGATCTGCATTTCTCTGATCATTAGTGATGTTGAGCATTTTTCCATATGCTTGTTGGTCATTTGTCTATTTTCTTTTGAGAATTGTCTATTCATGTCCTTCGTTCACTTTTTGATGGGATTTGTTTGTTTCTTGCTGATTTGAGTTCTTTGTAGATTCCGGATATTAGTCCTTTGTTAGACATGTAGTTTGTCAAGATTTTCTCACACTCTGTGAGTTGTCTGTTAACTCTGCTAATTATTTATTTTGCTGTGCAGAAGCTTTTTAGTTTAATCAAGTCCCATCTATTGTTTTTGTTGCATTTGCTTTTGGGTTCTTGGTCATAAAGCCTTTGTCTAAGCCAATGTCTAGAAGGGTTTTTCCAATGTTATCTTCTAGAATCTTTATGGTTTCGGGTCTTAGATTTAAGTCTTTGATCAATCTTGAGTTGATTTTTATATAAGGTGAGAGATGAAGATCCAGTTTCATTCTTCTACATGTGTCTAGCCAATTACCCCAGCCTCATTTGTTGAATAGAGTGTCCTTCCCCCACTTTATGTTTTGTTTGCTTTGTCACAGATCAGTTGGCTGTAAGTATTTGGCTTTATTTCTGTGTCCTCTATTTTGTTCCATTGGTCTATGTGCCTATTTTTTATATCAGTACCATGCTGTTTTGGTGACTGTGACCTTATAGTATAGTTTGAAGTCAAATAATGTGATGCTTCCAGATTTGTTCTTTTTGCTTAGTCTTGCCTTGGCTATGTGGGCACTTTTTTGGCTTCATATGTATTTTAGGATTGTGTTTTCTAGTTTTGTGAAGAATGATGGTGGTATTTTGATGGGATTGCATTGAATTTGTAGATTACATTCGGCACTATGGTCATTTTCACAATATTGATTCTACCCATCCATGAGCATGGGCTGTGTTTCTCTTCATTTGTGTTATCTATGATTTCTTTCAGCAATGTTTTGTAGTTTTCCTTGCAGAGTTCTTTCACGTCCTTGGTTAGGTATATTCCAACCTATTTTTTTTTGGAGCTATTATGAAAAGGATTGAGTTCTTGATTTGATTCTCGCTTGGTCGCTGTTGGTATATGGCAGAGCTACTGATTTGTGTACATTAATTTTGTATCATGAAACTTTGCTGAGTTCATTTACAAATTCTAGATGCTTTTTGGATGAGTCTTCAGGGTTTTCTAGGTATACAATCATATCATCAGTAAACAGTGACAGTTTGTCTCCCTCTTTACTGACTTGGATGCCCTTTATTTCTTTCTTTTGTCTGATTGCTCTGGCTAGGACTTCCAGTACTACGTTGAATAGAAGTGGCATCTTTGTCTTGTTCCAGTTCTCCCAGTGAATGTTTTCAACTTTTTCCTGTTAAGTGTAATGCTGGCTGTGGGTTTGTTGTAGATGGCTTTTTTTACTTTAAGATATGTCCCTTCTATGCTGATTTTGCTGAGGGTTTTAATCATAAAGGGATGCTGGATTTTGTCAAATGCTTTTTCTGTGTCTATTGAGATTATGTGATTTTTGTTTTTAATTGTGTTTATGTAGTGTATCACATTTATTGACTTATGCATATTAAACCATCCCTGCATCCCTGGTATGAAACCCACTTGATCATGGTGGATTATCTTTTTGATATGCTGCTAGATTCGGTTTGCTAGTATTTCGTTGAGGATTTTTGCACCTATGTTCATCAGGGATATTTGTCTGTAGTTTTCTTTTTTTGTTATGTCCTTTCCTGGTTCTGGAATTAGGGTGATACTGGCTTCATAGAATGATTTAGGGAGGAGTCCCTGTTTCTCTATCTTTCAGAATAGTGTCAATAGAATTGGTACCAATTCTTTGAATGTCTGATAGAAAGCTATGACCTATCTGTCTGATCCTGGATATTTTTTGTTGTCAATTTTTTAAAATTACCATTTCAAACTTGTTGCTGGTTATTTATCTGCTCAGAGATTCTATATCTTCCTGGTTTAATCTAGGAGAATTGTATATTTCCAGGAATTTATCCATCTCCTCTAGGTTTTCTAGTTTATGCGTGTAAAGGTGTTCATAGTAGCCTTGAATAATCTTTTGTATTTCTGTGGTATCAGTTGTAATATCTCCCATTTCATTTCTAATTGAGCTTATTTGGATTTTCTCTCTTATTTTCTTGGTTAATCTCACTAATGGTCTATCAATTTTATTTATCTTCTCAAAGAACCAGCTTTTTGTTTCATTTAAATCTTTTGTACTTTTTTTGTTTCAATTTCATTTAGTTCTGCTCTGATCTTCATTACTTCTTTTTTTCTGCTGGGTTTGGGTTTGGTTTGTTCTTGTTTCTCCAGTTCTGAGAAGTGTGACCTTAGATCGTCTATTTGTGCTCTTTCAGACTGTTTGATGCAGGCATTTAATGCTATGAACTTTCCTCTTAGCACCACTTTTGCGTATCCCAGAGGTTTTGATAGGTTGCGTCACTATTATTGTCAGTTCAAAGATTTTTTTAATTTCCATTTTGATTTCACTGTTGACCCAATGATTCAGGAAGAGGTTATTTAATTTCCATGTATTTGCATGGTTTTGAGGGTTCCTTTTGTAGTTGATTTCCAGTCTTATTCCACTGTTTTCTGAAAGAGTACTTGATATAGTTTCAATTTTCTTAAATTTACTGAGTCTTGTTTTGTGGCCTATCATATGGTCTGTCTTGGAGAATGTTCCATGTGCTGATGGATAGAATGTATATTCTGCAGTTGTTGGGTAGAATGTTCTGTAAATATCTGTAAGTCTATTTGTTGTAGAATATAGTTTAAGTCCATTGTTTCTTCACTGACTTTCTGTCTTGATGACTTGTCTAGTGCTGTCAGTGGAGTATTGAAACCCACCACTATTATTGTGGTGGTGTCTGTCTTCTTTCTTAGGTCTATATAATTGTTTTATAAATTTGAGAGCTCCAGTGTTAGGTGCATATACATGTAGAATTGTGATGCTTTCCTGTTGGACTAGTCCTTTTATCATTATATAATGTCCCTCTTTGTCTTTTTTATGTGCTGTTGTTTAAAGTTTGTTTTGTCTGATATAAGAATAGTTACTCCTGCTCATTTTTGGTGTTCATTTGCATGGGATATCTTTTTCCATCCCTTTACCTTAAGTTGATGTGAGTCCTTCTGTGTTAGGTGAGTCTCCTAAAGACAGCAGAAACTTGGTTGGTGAATTCTTATGCATTCTGCCATTCTGTATCTTTTAAGTGGAGCATTTAGCCCATTATGTTAGTATTGAGATGTGAGGTACAATTCTATTCATCGTGCTATTTGTTGCCTGAATACCTTGGGTTTTTTTTCATTGTGTTATTGTTATATAGGCCTGTGAGGTTTATGCTTTAAGAAAGCTCTATTTTGGTATATTTTGAGGATTTGTTTCAAGATTTAGAGATCCTTTTAGCAGTTCTTGTAGTTCTGGCTTGGTAGTGGCGAATTCTCTCAGCATTTGTTTGTCTGGAAAGATTGTATCTTTCCTTCATTTATTAAGCTTAGTTGCACTGAATACAAAATTCTTGGCTGATAATTGTTTTGTTTAAGGAGGCTAAAAATAGGACCCCCAATCCCTTCTAGCTTGTGGAGTTTCTGCTGAGAAATCTTCTATAAATCTGATAGGCTTTCCTTTATAGGTAACCTGATGCTTTTGCCTCACAGCTCTTAAGATTCTTTCCTTCGTCTTTACTTTAGGTAACCTGATGACTATGTGCCTACGTGATGATCTTTTTGCAATGAATTTCCCAGCTGTTCTTTGAACTTCTTGTATTTGAATGTGTAGATCTCTAGCAAGGCCAGGGAAGGTTTCCTCAATTATTCTCTCAACTATGTTTCCAAACTTTTGGATTTCTCTTCTTCTTTGGGAACACTAATTATTCTTAGGTTTGGACATTTAACGTAGTCCCTAACTTCTTGCAGGCTTTGTTCATTTTTTAAAATTCTTCTTTCTTTGTCTTTGATGGATTGGGTTAATTCGAAAGCCTTGTATTCTGTGTCTGAAGTTCTTTCTTCTGCTTGTTCGATTCTATTGCTGAGACTTTTCACTGTATTTTGTATTTCCCTAAGTGTGTCCTTGATTTCCAGAAGTTGTGATTGTTTTTTATTTATGCTATTTATTTCACTGAAGAATTTTTCTTTCATATTCTGTATCATGTTTTTGATTTCTTTAAGTTGGACTTCACCTTTCTCTGGTGCCTCCTTGATTAGCTTAATAATTGATCTTCTGAATTATTTTTGTGGCAATTCAGAGATTTTGTCTTGGTTTGGATCCATTGCTGGTGAGCTGGTATGATCTTTTGCAGGTGTTGAAGAACCTTGTTTTCTCATATTAACAGAATTGTTTTTCTGGCTCCTTGTCATTTGGGTCGCCTATGTCAGAGGGAAGATCTGGGATACAAGGGCTGCTGTTCAGATTCTTGTGTCTCATGGCTGCTCCCTTGATGTGGTGTTCTCCCCCTTCCACTAGGAATGGAGCTTCCTGAGAGCTGAACTGTAGTGATTGTTTTTGTTCTTTTGGGTCTAGCCACCCAGCGGAACTATGGGGCTCCAGGCTAGTACTGAGAAGTGTCTGCAAAGAGTCCTGTTATGTGATCCATCTTCAGGTCTTGCAGCCGTGGATACCAGGACCTGCTCTGGTGGAGGTAGTGGGGGAGGGAAGTGGACTCTGTGAGAGTCCTTGGTTGTGTTTTTGTTTAGTACACTGGTTTTGTGTTTGTTGGCCTCCAGCCAGGAGGTGGCACTTTCAAGAGCACATCAGCTGCGGTGCTATAGGGAGGATGCGAACTTGCCCTGGGGATACCTGATCAAGGGTTCAGGTTTCTCAGGCAGTGGGCAGGGCCATAGAGCTCTCAAGAGATTACGACCTTTGTCTTCGGCTACCAGGGCAGGTAGAGAAAGACCTCCAGGTAGGGGCAGGAATAGGTGTGTCTGAGCTCAGCTTCTCCTTGGGTGGGTCTTGCTGCAGCTGCTGTGGGCAATGGGGCTGTGGTTCCCAGTCCAGTGGAGTTATATTCCCAGGGGGATTATGGCTGCCTCTGCTGAGTCATACAGGTTGCCAGGGAAGTAGGGGAAAGCCAGCAGTCACAGGCCTCACCCTGCTCCCACACAGCCTACAGTCCTAAAGTTTGGTCTTACTCTCACCGAGCCCCCACAACAGCACCAAGTCTATTTGCAGGCAGCCAGTGACCAGGGCTGAGAACTTGCCCCAGACCATGAGCCTCCCCATTGAGAAAGCAAGCCGACTAAGAGGTTTTCGGCATCTCAGGGAACCCATAGAAGTGATCCAGTTCTTCAAAGGGTCTGTGGATTCTCTCGGCTTTCCTGGTATGTTCCTGTGGTAGTTTTTGGGACAAAAGTTCACAATGTGAGTCTCCACATGCTGCTCTGTCCAAGTGGGGAGGTGCAAGCTAGTCTTGCCTCTTATCTGCCACTTTAATCCTCTGTCTACCACAGAGTTTTGCCATTGGAGGCACTCAATAGCTGTTTGAAATGGATTACTGTTAGCTTAGCAGTGGTAATTAGTAGATATTCTTAAGTAATATCTTAAAATATTTCTTAATTAATTTGATGCATTTGTGCATTTCATCGATTTCAAGGCCTAGACATTGGGAATTAGATGTCTCAGCTGAGGATGAAATTGATTCTTATTCCAGAAATAAAAGTGAGGCCCTGGTGCCCATGAGCAGAATCCGTGTGCTACCATAGCAACACACAGCACTGCTTTGTCTTAGTCAATATAAATTAACCTTTTAAAAAATATGACTGTAAAGGGTTATATTATATATGTTAAGTATATAATTAAATTTTTGCTCTGTAATGTCCCTCATTTCCACCATTATGACTTTCTAGAATACATCCCCATTCCTTCTCTGTTACTTACTCGTCCCTTTGTGCCTTGTTGGACCACATCTGACATGTTAATAGATGTATCTTTGCACAGTTAAATGCTAAATAATGTGCTATGGATGTGTGCATGTTGTCAGGGTCTGCAGGAGGAGAGAATTTGAGAACTTGCTCAGAAACCTTTGTGGCAGAAAGTTGGATTCAGCTAGACTGAGAGTGAGATAAGAGGCCCACCAGGAGGCACAAGGGGGATGGACCAGGGCAGTTGGCAGGATGAGCATTGAGTAAGGTGAACCAAAATGCTGGCATCAGGTTTGTTCATAATCTCTGAACCCTACTGGGTTTTACTTCAGTATATGAAGACCCAATCCACAAATCATTAAGAACTGGACAGAAAAAAAAATTATACTGATTTTTTTTAAGTTAACAAGTTTCAAAATGTTGGTAGCTTTCCAAGTTCCGTCCCACAAAACCCAATTCTCGGGGCTGGCAGGCTAGTGGTGAGACTGTGGCTGTGCCAGGGGAGTCAGTTGAATGATGGAGATCCTGAGTCTGATCCACTCCAAGAGAGATCTCAGCTGGGTCTCATCTGTTGCCATTTGGAATATTAAATAGTTCGCCAAGGATAGAAACTAAATCTGTGCCAGAATGTATAGAGAGTCAGAATGGCCCATGCTTCTACACCTCCGTCCTCCCCACTCAGTTCTTCTCCAAGTCATTCTTTAATTCCAAGGCCAAGGATGGGAACCACAGGAGAGAGGACATGAAAATAAATACAATGGGGGAAAAAGAAAACAAACAGCAGCAGCAGAGAATGACGACGAGGAGGAGAGAAAAAATGAGAAGTAGGAAGAGGATGAGTTTGTCGTGCTCATCTGGCAAATATGTAATCTGATTTTAACTTCTAGCCATGGTGAGCGATCCCAGGGGAGCACAGAGTGGACCCAGCTGGGATCTCTCTTGGAGTGGATCAGACTGATAATCTCCAACAACCAACTCATTCCTGGATAAGGAAGAAGAGAGTGTCACCTACTTCAGTGTGATTTCAACCCCACCTCTACATCTTAAAGACATTGTATTATTTCAGCAGTAATGCCACTGTTCATTAGTCCCACTGATGTTTTCATTCCTCATTTCATCTTTTTCTTAGCAGCATTCCATTAATCCTTCATTTTAGAGACACTCTCTTCCTTTGGCTGGACAGAAAAAAACATTTCTACTGATTTTTTAAAACATAACAAGTTTCAAAATGTTGGTAGCTTTCCAAGTTCCACCCCACAAAACCCAATTCTTTGGCGGGCTGGTGGTGAGACTGTGACTGTGCCAGGGGAGTCAGTTGAATGATGGAGATCCTTAGTCTTATCCACTCCTAGAGAGATCTCAGCTGGGTCTCTGCCCATGAGCAGAATCTGTGTTCTTGGGACACAGATTTCCCAAGAGACCATTATTTCATGAGACTTTCATGAGACCATTCTCAGATTAGCATCCAAGATGAAGTGGCATTATCCTGCATAGTGTCCAGCATTGTACATTTGATTAGGAGGGAGTAAATGAGATTGAGCACTGGGAGCAATAGTAGAAGGACACCCAATAGCCCAAAGTTGGAAGGAGCACAAGTGTTCATTGATGGAAGAATGGATAAACAGAATGTGGTCTAAACATACCATGAAGTATTATCCAGCCTTAAAAGGGGAGGAAGTTCTGACAGATGCTGCAACATGGATGAACCTTGAGGATATTATGCAAGTGAAGTAAACCAGGCAGAGAAGGATAAATGCTGTATGATTCTACTCATATGAGGTACCTAGAGTAGTCAAACTGATAGAGAAAGTAGAATGGTGGCTGCCAGGAGCTGTGGGGATGGGAAGATGGGAAGTTCATGAGACCATTCTCACCTTGTTTTGTCCTACTACTCTTTTGAAAAAAAACCTTTTTTTCTTGTTAAATTCTAGTAAAATACACAAAATAAAAATTTGCTATCTTAACCATGTTTAAATATGCAGTTAGTAGTGTAAAATACATTCACATTGTTGTGCAAACCATCACCACCATCCATCACTAGAACTCTTTTCATCTTGCAGATCTGAAACTCTGTACGCATTAAACAACTTCCCATCTTCCCATCCCCACAGTTCCTAACAGCCACCATTCTACTTTCTCTCTCTATCAGTTTGACTACTCTAGGTACCTCATATGAGTAGAATCATACAGCATTTATCCTTCTCTGCCTGGCTTACTTCACTTGCATAATGTCCTCAAGGTTCATCCATGTTGTAGCATGTGTCAGAACTTCCTCCCCTTTTAAGTTTGGAGAATATTTCATGGTATGTTTAGACCACATTCTGTTTATCCATTCTTCCATCAATGAACACTTGTGCTCCTTCCAACTTTGGGCTATTGGGTGTCCTTCTACTATTGCTCCCAGTGCTCAATCTCATTTACTCCCTTCTAAACAAATGTACAACACTGGACACTACACAGGATAATGCCACTTCATGTTGGATGCTAATCTGCCATGTTGACTTCTGACTAACCCCAGGCCCAGGAATGTCTCTAAGATTTTGACTTTATTTACTGTTGCTTGTGTAAGCCAAGACAACCTTGATGTTATCATAAATATGTACTTACCTAAGTCCTGTCTTTTGGCAAATTATGGGCTATGAGGCACATAGCGTTCTTGCCTTTCCCTGAGGGGTTAATTTCAGTGATCCTACACATTACTTCTGAAGCACATATGCTCTTCTTATATGGCATGTAAGCCCTGGGTCTAGGGGGTAACAGTGCAAAGATCTACCTGTCGTGCTGCTACATGCTTCTAAATTTGCTAATAAATCACCTTCCACTGACCAAAAAAACACATTTTTCTCTCTAATCAGTATGACAATGATGGTGAGTAAAGATATAGGGCAAAAAAACGATAACATCTTATGAGTACAAAACAACTGTCAAATGTCATCCAAGGAAATCTTTTAAAAAGTGTTCTTTTTCTAACTGTAAATTCATAAATTATTGTTGTACATGTTTATGGGGCACAAAGTGAAGTTATGACTTATGAATACAATATGGAATAATTACATCAAGCTAATTAACATACATCACTTCAAATACTGATTAGATAGGAGAAATAAGTTTGTTTTCTTTGAGATATATTGCACAC
Organism: Homo sapiens; assembly: GCF_000001405.40. Taxonomy (NCBI): domain Eukaryota; kingdom Metazoa; phylum Chordata; class Mammalia; order Primates; family Hominidae; genus Homo; species Homo sapiens. Next base: position 132,859,306 of record NC_000003.12, read on the forward strand.
TATGCAACATATAGTAAATAATAATGCAATATAGTAAATAATAATGTATTATACCTTCCAAGGAGGTCTTTATTTCATCTTACTATTTCAAAATAGGCGAAGATCAGATCTTAGAAATCCCAAATTCAACATCTTAGATGCCAGGTAGAGAAAAATAGATATTCTTCACCTTTTCCATGATTACTCATGTTTATAAAGGTCTATTGTTTGAAGGCCAATTTAACAGAGTCATCTACTCTCAGTAAGTGGGGAAAGACAGGATTACAGAGAGACCTTCAAATATATGTCTCATTATGCATGATCATTCTCACTGTGGAGCAAATAGGCAAAGTGTGTCAGACTTGAAATTTTCTGAAGTCATTTCTAATTCTATGCTAATATTAGACCTCAGTATGATTAATAATATAACTCATCAGTTGTAGCCACTTGATAATTATTCTCATTAGGCTTATGTATAACACCATTTTTTTTCTCCATGAGAAACCCAAGTCCTTTTACAAATTTTCATTTGCCAAGTAGACAACATTCCTCACACTCTGTGAGCAAGACAAGTGCAAATTGCATTGAGTCTAGAAAGAAAGATGCTCATTTTTATTTAATATTTTTAGTTCCCACCTGTTCTCAGATGTATTTTTACTTCACTCTTTGGTAGTCTCCCTTGTTGGATGCTGTTTCCCACTCAATTCTTTTGGATTTCTGGTTGGAGTAGCTTTCTGTAGCTCTCAAAGTTTAAACTGAAAACTCATCTATTTTAACATCTAAAGTGATAGACTCTACCACCCCCTGCCTCCACCACCAATCTCATGTCTTGCGACACTCAACAATTAGACTGTGAACACTTCAAGGACTGGGATGAAGGCTGATCTGCATTTGTATTTCCGGGGTTGAGCTCAAATCCTAGCAATTGGACATACTTGGTAAGTGATGTTTGAACAAAAGAATAAATGTATGGATGACCATTCCATTATAGTCTACCTCACTAGCCATTTATGAGGTCCATGGAGGAAGTATAGGGATAAGATGCTGGGGATATGATTAGAGGAAGGCAAGGAAGATATCTGTAAAGATGTTGATGATGAAAATGCTTGATTGCATTTATGTTGGAAAATAGGAATAAAATATATATCATAGATAGACCTTACATAATGTTTTTGTTGGGAACTATCACATCTCAGGAGAGTCTTTAGTAGCTTGTGTGATCCTACCTATCTCTCCTTAAAAGATTTGTCTCTCCACTCATAGGATTAGGTTATTCCAGTCCCTGAAGTTCTGTCTGTGAGAAAAAGAAGACAGGAGAGTCCAGACACACCAACAGGTTGGTAAAAACAAAATTAACACAATTGAGCATCCTTTTATGTGTCAGAATGTTTACATACACATTGTCATCTAATCTTAATAACCCAATAAGGTTAATATAATCCTTATTTTAAGGTGAGAAAATGTAGGCTCAGATAGATTGTTACAGGGAAGCTTTGATGGGAACTAGGAAAGCTTTTTTCAATTCGCTATCAAAGTGCTGGAGTCTGGTGCTAGAGTCTGGTGTAACCTCTTTGGTCAGTTTTCCTGTTCCTTAATACTGTTAAGCACCATAGTGAGCCTGTGTGTGTGTGTGTGTGTTGTGTGTGCATATGTGTATGTGTGTGTGTATGTTGAGTGTACAGTTGTATGACTTGGAAATTTTAATTTTAAAATTATCATTGATAAAATTGACTTTCTTCTCACATGGGGTTACAAGTCTATGAATTTTAACAAATGTGTACTTTCATGTTACCCCCCACCATAATCAAGATGCAGAACAGTTCCATCACCCTAAAGAATTCCTTGTGCTATCACCTTGTAATTACACCCTCCCCCATCTCTATTCCATCATCTGTTTTCCATCACTATAATTTTATGTTTTTGATAATGTCCTATAAATAGGCTCCTATGGTATATATCATCTTTTGAGATTGGCTTCATTTACTTGACATAATGCCTTTGAGATCCATCCAAGTTGTGTATCAAAAGTTTATTCCTTTTCATTGCTGATTTTATTGTATAGGTGTATAGAATTGTATAGGATTTGTATAGGATTTCATTGTATGGAGGTACAGCAGTTTGTTTATTCATTTGCCTATTTGTGGTAGACAGATTAATAGCCCCCTAAAGATGTGTACATCCTTTTCCCCAGAACCTGTGAATATATTATGTTATATGGCAAGAGGGAATTAAGGTTATAGATGAAAATAAGATTGCTAATCATCTGACCTTAACATGCAGAATTATTATGTATTAGCCAGGTGGGCCAATGTAATCATAAGAGTTCTTAAATGGAGAAGAGTAAGGCAGAAGGGTCATAACCAAAGAAACGGCATTGTCAGAAACACTTAACTGGCCACTGCTGACTTTGAAAGTGGAAGGGGGCCATGAGCCAAAGAATGAAGGCAGCCTCTACATACTAGAAAAAGCAAGAAAATTGGTTCCTCCTTAGAGTCTCCAGAGAGAAATGCAATCCTGACAAAACCTTGATTTTAGTCCAGTGAGACCCATTTCTGCCTTCTGACCCGCTACACTATAAGATAATAAGTGTATGTTATTTCAAGCTACTAAATTTGTGGTAATTTGTTACAGCAGAAATAGGAACTAGTATACTATTGAAGGTCATTAGGTTATTTTCAGTTTGGGGCAATTATAAATAGAGCTTCTAAAAACAATTATGTATAGGTTTTTGTGTGAACATAAAATTTCATTTCTTTTTTTTTTTGAGATGGAGTCTTACTCTGTCGCCTAGGCTGGAGTGCAGTGGCATGATCTTGGCTCACTGCAAGCTCCACCTCCCGGGTTCACGCCATTCTCCTGCCTCAGCCTCCCGAGTAGCTGGGACTACAGGTGCCCACCACCATGCCTGGCTGATTTTTTTTGTATTTTTAATAGAGACGGGGTTTCACCGTGTTAGCTAGGATGGTCTCGATCTCCTGACCCCGTGATCTGCCCACCTCGGCCTCCCAAAGTGCTAGGATTACAGGTGTGAGCCACTGCACCCGGCCAAAATTTCATTTCTTTAGGGAAAACATGGAGGAGTGGGATTGCTAGCTCATATGGTAAACGTATGTTTAATTTTGTAAGAAATTGCTAAGAGTGTTTCCAGGGTGCTGCTATTATTTTACATTCCAGTAAGATATGAGAGTTCTGGTTGCTTTCCAATCCTCATCAAGTAGTATCAGGATTATTTATTTTAGTCAATTAAGTAGTTGTGTAGTAGTTTTAATTTGCATTTCCCTCATGGCTAATGATGTTGAACATCTTTTCATGTTCCTGTCTGCCAACTTTATATCCTCTTTAGAGAAGTATAAGTCCTTTGCCCATTTTAATAATTGGGTTGTTTGTTTTCCTATTGCTGAGTTTTTGAGTGTTCTTTACGTATTCTGAATACAAGTCTTTTGTCAGATATATGAATTTCTTTAGCACTTTTGTCAGTAATCAAATGGCAATTTTTATAAGGGTCTGGTTTCTGGACTTTCTCATAGATGTGTTCCATTGATCTATATTTCTGTCCCTTTGTCAATACCATACTGTGTTGATTACTATAGCTTTCTAGTAAGTTGAAATTGGGTAGTATGAGTCCTCCAACTTTATTCTTCTTTATCAATATATTTTTAGCTATTCTACTTCCTTTTCATTTTCTTTATCATATAAAATTTAAAATCTATTGGTACATATCTACAAAAACATCCTGCTTTTCATCAGTATTATTAAATCTAATGATAATTTTTAGGGAGAATTGACATCTTTACTATATTATCTCTCTCCATTTATTTAGATATTCTTTAAGTTCTTATATTAACATTTTTTAGTTTTCAGCATATAAATACTGTACATGTCTTGTTATAGTTCTATTTTTTTAAGTTATTATAAATGGTATTTTTTTACCTTTTAGTTTCTGGTTGTACATTACATTGTTAACATATAGAAATACACTTGTATTGTGTGTGTTGGCTTTATACACTGCAACCTTGCTAAACTCATTCATTAGTTCTAGGGGCTTTTTGTAGATTTTGTGAGATTTTCTTTTTTTTATTATTATACTTTAAGTTCTAGGGTATATGTGCACAACGTGCAGGTAGCATTAGGAGATTTTGTGAGGTTTTCTACATAGATAATGTTTTCTGTGAATAGAGTTTTACTTCTTTTTAAATAACCTGTGTACCTTTTATTTATTTTCCTTGCCTTATTGCACTGGCTAAGATTTTCAGTACAATGTTGAATAGAAGTGGTGAAAGTGAACATTCTTGCCTTGATCCCAATATTAGAAGAAAAGTATTACATCTTCCACCTTTAGGTGTAATGTTAGTTGTAGGATTTATAAGTGCCTTTTGTCAGGCCGAGGAAGCACCATTGTATTCTTAGTTTGCTGGCATTTTTGTCATGAATGGATGTTATATTTTTTCAAATGTTTTTCTGCATCTGTTGATATGATCAGGTAGCTTTTCTTATTTTATACATTTACTGTGGTAGATTACATTGATTGATTGATTGATTTTCAGATATTGAATCCACCCCTGGCTTCTTGAGATAAATCCCTTTTGGTCTTTGTGTAGTAATCTTATTATATGTTATTGGATCAATTTGCTAATATTTTGTTGAGGATTTTTGTGTCTATATTCACAGGGGATGTTGGTCTGCAGTTCACTCTCTCTTGGTGTCTTTGGTTTTGGTATCAAGGTAATTCTGGCCTTGTAAAGTGAATTGTAAAAGATTGCCTCCTTGTCTATTTTCTGAATGAGATTATGTTGAATTGCTGATATGTTTTTGTAAGATGTTTGCTAGAATTTACCAGTAAAACCATTTGGACACCGAGATTTATTTTTCCAAATGTTCAAAAATATCTTTAAATTATCATACAGTAAAACTGACTTATTTTCTTTTGGAGTACAGTTCTATGAACTTTAAAAATATGTATGAATTTGTTCTTTTTTAGGAATGTTTTAAAATATAAATTCAATTTCTTTAGTATTATAGTTATGGGGCTCTGCAGGTTATCTGTTGTGTTCTGGGTGAGTTTTGGTAGTTTGTGGGTTTTGAGGAATTAGTCCATTCTGCTATTGAGTCTATCCCATGGGGTTTTTATATTGGTTATTACTTATTTTAGTTATATGATTTCCATTTGGTTCTTCTTTGCCATGTACTTGTCACTAGGTTGCCTGGGGACTAGGGTGAGAGAGAATAGAAGGAAAGAAAATAACTGGGGGCTTTACCCTGTTCTCTCTGTGCTTTAGGATATCTCTTTTCTGCTCTTTGTCCCTAAATTAGAGAGATTCTCATGGATCTCTCTCTGTCTGCATCACAGGGCTCACTTTTGTGTTTCAGGCTTCAATGAGTTCAGGCCAGATGATACCAGAGGGGAAAAATGATAAACTCACCACCAGCCAATTTGGTATTATTTTGAATTCTGGTATTCTTTCTTAATATAGCTACAGATATTCACTTTTCAGAGACCTTGGATACCTGTGCCATGCAGTTTATCTAGGTTTTATTGTATCTAGTGGGAGAGAAGGGTTGGCATGTGTTTACACCATCTTACCTGGAACCAGAACTCTGGACATCTGTTTTTGTCACCCAGAATTTTCTTCCTCCTTGCAATGGCCCTTCAACTTTCCCTCGACAAAATCTCTTTTTACCTTTCATCCAGGGTACTTCCAGAAGAGTTGGTCCCACTTATGACTCAGAATGGAGGAAGTATTTCAGGCTGAAAACAATCCACTCAATGCATTTTCTTGAACAAATTGATTTAATAGTGAACATAAGACTCACTTAGAGCCAATGAGAGAGAACAAGATTCTGCTGAAAATTTAGAGCACTATCACTGGTTCTTCACATCTAGATTTAGACCTAGAAACCGTTAGTCCCAGAAGTTACTGGTAGCTATCTTGGGACTATGGAGAAGAGGATTCCCTGAAAGGCAACAACACAGGAAAGGAAGAGCAGAGAAGAGGAAGGAGAGAGAAACCAAATTCTGGTATCATTTAGGCTTTGGATCAAATGCAATCTGAAGCCAGTTAGGTCTCTCCCCAAACTATCCAGTGACTTGTGCCAATATATTCCATTTAACTTACTGCACTGTGAGTTGAGTTTTCTGACCCTTACAATGGAAACATTCCTCCTTTATCAGTTCTGTCATTCTGTATTTCCTCACATATTGAAAAATTATAATTAGTTATAATCTGTATCTTCTCTAAAATATTTTGCCTTTGCCTTTTCCTACGTATCTAGACAATTTTGTTTTTCATCTGTCCATTTAATGTGATGAGATATCGATAAAGCCAGACTTTTCTAGAAACCTCTCTATGATTGAAAATAGGTGTGAGGTATTACCAAATCCCAATAGCTAACAAAAAGACATTTTATCTGATGGCTTCTCCACTGTTCCTGATGAAATGTGAAGAGTTGTTATGAAATGGAAGGTGGGGAGATGTTGAAACAGAGATGAATATATAAAGTTGCAATAAAACCCTGTAAATTTTGATTAAACTATATCCATTTGAGGTAGCCCAGAGACATTTATAACTTTTCTCTCATGAAGAGGTAGGCCTCATGGCATCATAAAGTCTAAGATTCTGCAAAATCTGACTGATATCTCTTATCTATATGTTAGCCTGGAGCCCAAAGGACATTGAACCCTCTTGGGAAGAATGTGGTAACAAAGTGCTCAATATCATGTGATATAATAAAATGGCTCTTGTTTGAAGCCACAAGTTTTGGGGGTAGTTTATTACACAGCAGTAAGTAACTGAAACACAAACTCTATTATGTCTCCAAGAGTTGCTATGCTATGTCATTGCCAGAATCTCTTTACTTTGTGGATCTTTCCAGATTCTAGACTTCTAACTTCTTCCTTCAGCCTATTTTCCACAGTTAATTGACATATTTTATTTTTTAAAAAGTACAATTCACATATATCTTGAAAAAAATGATAGTTACTATAATCTACTTAAAATAGACAATTCAGCTCTTGGGAAAGTGGCCACTGTAGGCTTAGCAGTGGTTGGGATAGGAAAGGCTGCTCTTGGGTTTGCTTATGCAAAGTTTGAAAAGGTGGCTTATTATTTTCTCAGTCAGTATTTGACTGGATCAGGAAATGTCTAATCTTAGAAAGAAATCCTGATGTACTATATTTTAAGGTTGCCTGGTTCTGGAGTCTATAATAACAGAGTCCTGACCTATGGGCCTGATGAACTGCCTCATGAATACCCCACCAGGGATAAATGGCACATACATATATACAAGAAGAATGGGAACTAATTCTCTCAGAAAGAACTTTTTTTTATAAGCCTAAACTAGAGAAAACTGCCCATATAACTCAAGTAATCTCTCTTGGAAACTAGTAAACTAACATAATATTTTGAGAACGCCTAAAATTGCAATAGTTGACCCATAAGTCTTTAGGGGTTTAGGGACCGCTTTGGTCCCCAGGAGTGTCCACAAAGATCTCCTCACAATATGCAGTCTACCTAGACAATGCTTCACCACTGAGGCCCTAGATCTCTACTCCATGTTTCTCCTATTAAAGTATATCTTCTTTGTGTTCCATTCGCTCTCAGCTGGTCTACTAGAACACTTTCCGATGTGTGAACCTCTTCTAAGAATGAACTGTTGACTTTTGAATGTATGAGATTAGACCATACCAGTAGACACAATGCAACTAGTTAGCTCAATTATTGCAGAGTCTCATGATCAGCCTTGATTGAGTGTTTGATAAATCTTAATGATAAGCAGTAGTGTCATGCAAAGACCAACTGAATTCTCAGACTTTTTTGACATCCAGCAAGAAACAAGATATTTGGTAAAATTGTGTAGTTGGAGGAATGTCATGACTCTGATCTTGGCAAGTGTCTGTGACTTATCATTTCTCTTAGGAACTAAGCAGGGATATTTAAAAATATATCACCTATTGTTAATTTCTGACTCTAACACATTTTCACTGTAGAAAATTGGGACATACAAGAAGGAATAAAGAAGAAAATAAAAACTAGCCATATTTCTACTACCCAGATATAATCACTGTTAACCTTTTGTTTCATTTCAGCTAAATAAAGTATAAAAATATTTTACAAAACATTTAGATAATTGTGTATACATATGTGTATATGTTTTTATATATGTATACATACACACATACATATTATTGGGTGTGTGTGTGCGTGCATGCGTGTGTGTGTGCACATATGTATAGTTTTGTTTCTAAGCAGGAAATTTTCAAAGGACTAGTTAAACTTTTGTCCTACTTCTTCTGTCTGAAAGTAGATTACGTCAACAAATGAGATTAAACTCTTCCTGATTTGTCTTGCCTTCCAGTGGGAGAATGTTATTTTTAAACCAGAAAGCAACTGGGATACTTAAATAATGATAACAACAACAAACAAGAAGGTCAATCTTCAGACCTTCATATAAGCTCCACCGTATCTCTGGATGCATACAAATTACTCAAGGGCTGTGGTCATGTTTAAAAAACGATTTAAGGTTTATGACCAGCCTGGGCAAAATAGTAAAACTCTGTCTCTACAGAAAATTTTTTAAAACATTAGCCAGGCATGGTGGTGCATGCCTGTAGTCCTAGCTACTAGGGAGGCTGAGGCAGGAGGATTGCTTGAGCCCATGAGTGCCTGGAGACAGAGCAAGACCCCATCTCTAAAAAAATAATAACAACAATTTAAGCAACAATTTCTTCTCTGGGAGCATTTAAAAATTGGTTGGGAAGAATGATTCACACATTTAAAAATTGGTTGAGAAGAATGATTCACACATATTGAGCAATTTGAGAGTAGTAGAAGATGGTTTATGTTTAGGTGGTGAAGAGATGTGAGGTTCAATGACCACAAGTATTTCAAGGGTTCCTGGAGAAAGTGGAGTTTGAGATAAGCTTTGGGTTATAGATACAAAAGAAAAAGGGAGGGACTTTTTCCACTTCTTTAACTGCAGCATGGACAAATGCTTGGGAGCAGGAATAAGCTTGACATTGGAAAAGGCGTGGCTCTAAGCATATGAGCTAGAGTCAGGCAGACATAGGTCTGAGTCTGTCTCTGCTACTTGTTAGACTGATGGCCTTGGCACTTCTCTCTATCCTTTCCTAGGCCTCCGATTCTTTATCTCAAAGTAGGGGAAAGTAGCATCTGCCTCAATGGACTATTTTGAATATTGAGTGGGAAATGTGTATAAAGTGCTTAGCACAGTACTTTATGCATGTGATTGTTAATACTGAATGTCAACTTGACTGGATTGAAGGATACAAAGTATTGATTCCAGGTGTGTCTGTGAGGGTGTTGCCAAAGGAGATTAACTGTTTGAGTCAGTGGGCTGGGAAAAGGTGCCTACTCTTACTCTGGGTGGGCACAATCTAATCAGCTGCTAGCATGGCTAGAATATAAGCAAGCAGAAAAATGGGAAAAGTGAGACTGGCCTAGCCTCCCAGCCTACATGGGCTAGTAATGGAAGGCCCGTGTGTATATATATATATATATATATATTCCATTAGTTCTGTCCCTCTAGAGAACCCTAATACAATACTCTCTCTATATATATGTACATTCCATTAGTTTTGTCCCTCTAGAGAACCCTAACTAATACAATGTATAAGAAGCATTAAAAAACTACTGACCAATAATGGTGATAAATAATCATCAAAAATGGCAACTGGTTCATGAGGTGACCTAGAAATGTGGCAATCTATGAGACGCTAGTAGCTTGGTATTCCAGGAAAAGCTTCTAGAATTCAAAAACAGGAAGTAATAAAGATTTCAGACAGAAGGCCACGCCTCATATATATCCAGTGTTTCAATCATGTTACACATAGGTCTCAAATCTGTTCACCTGCTCAGGAAGGCTCTGAGGTGTTCTGCTGATGGGAAACCATCTGGAGTCTTTCAGGGGAAGGCTGCCCGCACCCATTTTCTGTTGGTCTAGTGCAAGGATTGACAGATTTTGTTCTTTTTTTCTGTGAAGGACCAGACAGTAAATATTTTAGGTTTTGTGGGCCATACAGTCTGTGTTACAGCTCCTCAATCCTGACATTGTAGTGTGAAAGCAATAGACAATATATAAGTGCCTGGGTGTGGTTATGTTCCAGTAAAACTTTATTTATAAAACCAGGTGGCAGATTTGCCCTTATGGGCTATACTTTGCCCACTCCTGGTCTAGAGTTTAACTCTCAGAAGACAATCTGAATTTTTAGTAGGTATGAATTTGTTCCGCAACACCTAGATTCAAAATACATCATAATATTTTCTTTTTATTTTTTAAAATTAAAATTTCAAATTTAAAAATTTAAATTATAAAACAATTCAAACATCTTTACATTTTTCTAAATAAAAATTATTCTTGCTTGGGCCATACTCCCCATGGATGGTTACAAATTCAACTTAGTAACGTTTTCAGGACAAACCCCTACTCTCCCTGGGGTCATATTGATAACCTATAGCATTTACATGACTGTAGGGGAGGAATGAGGACTTGACTCTCTTCTTGGTGGTCACCTTTGTTACTGTTACCTGAAATCCATGACTGCTTCTTCCACGATGCTCTAACATAGGACTCTTCTTGCAGACTGAAGCTCTGTCATGTCTCTTTTCGTGTTAGGCACTTAGTGCCCCGGACCCAAGGACATCCCTCAACCATCCTCCCTCTGAGGTATGGGTTTATCTGCCATTTGTAGGAATCCCCTAAGCTACCCTTTCTGTTATCAGAGAACCTCCCTCTGGTGGTTGTGCCATCCTTTCTTCTGTTTCACCTAACTCAAAGCACCAGGCTTCAACCATTCCCTTCTGGGACAATGCACTTCCATTTTCCTCATAAGAAGCATCTGATTTCCATCAGGTGGGGTTGGAGGTGGTAAAGGTGATGGTAAGAAAGGCTCAAACTTCTTAGAAACACAATAGTTTGGTGAAGTGGGAATTGGAGAGAGGGTTGCTTCCTTCTGCCCTAATGAATTAACAAGAACAATGTAAAGCAAAACAAAACAAACACAAGCCACCAGTTAGGTTTTTCTCTGAACTCCCAGGTCTTGGGAGGGGTATCTCATTGTGGTTTCCAAGTCCTGGCAATGTCCAGAATTGGACTATATGCCAAGGAAATGCCACAGAGGCTTTCAGAAAACTGTCAGTTTTGTTGGAGAAAGGGAGCTCACACACAAGGCAGACTCTTTCACCAAGTGTTTCAGGGGAAGGAGTTGTTAGACCTGTGATTAAGGCATAGTCCCAATTCTCAAAGAACTTATAACAAGACATGCACCCAAGACAGTCAAAAGGCCGTACAGTTCAGTGGGTATGTGATTGAATGGGGAGAGACAGCTATGTCTGCCCTGAACTTGGAAAGCTATTCTAAAAACCACCCCGGAAGGGAAATGTGGTTCCTACAGCTGTTCTCAAATTGCCACTTTGCTCTGATGACCTCTTTATGATCTAGAGACAATCTGCCTGAGAGACTTTGCATGTTTTTCACTGAGTAATGTGACAGGTGCTACCACAGTCTGAAAGGACAGAACAGCAGCTGACAAAGGGGCAAAGAATCCGTGGCTAGGCTTGGCTTTGTCTATTTGATACGTGTTTTATTTGTGGTGGGGGCTGAGGGAGGGGGTGAGGTTGGTCAAGGGATACATTTCCATTAGATAGAAAGAATTGAGAGATCTATTGTACAACATGGTGACTACAGTTAGTAACAATGTATTGTATTCTTGAAAATTGTGAAGAGAGTAGATTTTAAGTGTCCTCACCAACAAAAAAAAAGTTATGTGACTTCACATAAGTAATTCACATATGTATTACTTAATACATATGTTAATTAGCTCAATGTAGCCATTCCACAGTATTTACATATTTCAAAGCAACATGTTGTACATAAATATATACAATTTTTATTTGCCAATTTAAAAATTAATTAAGTTTTAAAAAGAGAAAATATATATGATTTTGTTTCATCTCAGCAAGTCCTCTGAGATGCCTGCAAGCCATAAGATGAAAAAGACCCTGTCTGGGCACGGTGGCTCACACCTGTAACCCCAGCACTTTGGGAGGCTGAGGCGGGTGGATCAGCTGAGGTCAGGATTTCAAGACCAGCCTGGCCAACATGGCGAAACACTGTCTCTGTTAAAAGTACAAAAGCTAGCTGGGCAGGGTGGCATGCGTCTGTAATCCCAGCTACTTGGGAGGCTGAGGCAGGAGAATCACTTGAACCCAGGAGGCAGAGGTTGCAGTGAGCCGAGATAGCGCCCCTGCACTCCAGCCTGGGCAACAGAGCAAGACTCCATCTCAAAAAAACAAAAAACAAAAAACCAAAAAACCCAAGAGCCCTGCAGGGAGGCAAACATCTTGTTCCTTTTGATACGTGGTATAATACTCCCCAACTTATTAGCTATGTGATTTTGGGCAAGTTAATTAATATCACTGTACCTCTGCTGAAAAAAAAAAGTATAAAAAGATTCCTCCTTCACAGAGTTGCTCAATTATTAAATTAGTTAATACATATAAATGCACTTAAGAGTATTTCCTAGTACATAATAATTGTTTGATAAATACCAACTATTATTATTCTGGCCTTTTCCTTCTCAAATGTATTTCTAAAGAATAAACAACCTGTAATAGGATTGCAGGCCAGCCTCTAATAAATGAAACACTAATGAATAGATGAGGCAACCCTTAAAAACTTAAAGGAGGTAATTCTAAGACGTGTTGAAAATAGTGTTGTCTTACACAGCAAGTACGAAGCATATGGAACTTACTATCCCAGGACCTGTCTAAGCCAAAAATGTAAATAGGCTCAAGGAGAGGTGAAGTAATATTCTGAGTGGTAGGACTTAAAGTGAGGACATGCCAAACTTCTGAGGGCACAGAAAGCAGCTGCTGTTTCTGTTTTACCCCCCTGGTGCCAGTGTTAGAGAGAGCAGGCTGAATTAAACATGAGCTGGTCTTTAGCAGAAATCTGTTTGGGTAGAGCTTAAAGAAGTGGGTGCTTTGATGGCTGACGCTTTCTAGAACTCATAGCTGGAGGTCTTTGACCTCTTCATTGTGGGTTAAATCCGACACATACCTGCCCAGGGACAGTGTTCAGTAATTTTTTTTTTAATTTCATTTTTTAAATTCAAAAATCATAATTGTGCAGATTCATGGAATATACAGTGACATTTTCATACATATATTGTGGAGTGATCAGATTAGGATAATTAGCCTACGTATCATCTCAAACATTTCTCATTTCTCTGTGTTGGGAACATTCAATATCCTCCTTCTAGCTGTTTGAAACTATATAGTATTGTTAACTGTAGCTATCCTACAGTGCTACAAAACACTAGAACTTAATCCTTTTATCTAGCTGTAGTTTTGTATCTTTTAACAGAATCTAAGGTTTTGCTGAGTAAAAGAGATTTCCAAACTCTTGGACCCATCTTGACCCCAAGGTAGTGAAAGGAGCCATTTTTCAGGAGTTTGGATGGTGGCAGCAATGTTTTTGATGGTCTGGCCCACAGCCATACTAATTCTTCTGCTGACATGGCCCTGAGTTGTGAGTTCGTTTGGGTATCAGGGCAAGTATTCCCAGGGCTTGCTTCATGATTGGTCTAAGCAACTGTGTTCATCTCATTCCCCTTTCCAGTAATTGGTTTAGTCATAGTTACATGACCCAATTCTGGCCATGGGGACATGAGGAATTCAACAGGGAAGCTTTTAGAAAAGATTTTTTTCTCTCAGGTTTAAAAATAAAAAAATACATGTAAGAAGTTGTTTTAGTCCTTCCTACTTTCAATACTATCATGTGAGGATGTGATTCACAGAACTACTACAGCTTTCTTGTGAACATGAGGGAAACTAAGAAGTTCAGCCAGAGTCCTGACATTGGTGAGCTACGGAGACAGCTTTAGGTCAGTATTCTTCCGGGCTTTGTATGTGAGATTGCTAATTAGCCCTATTGTTTAAGGCAACTTTAATTAGGTATTCTGCTACTTGCAGTCAAAAGCATCCTAACTGATGTGATTAGTATGTGTGTTTTGTTCACCACCAATGCCTAGCACAGGGCCTGACATATGGCTAGAAGCTCAATAATTGTTTTTTGAATTAGTGAATGATAGCACTGTTCAATCTTACTGCTGGGTCTACTCTGGCTATGTTCTGGCTCTGGTAGAGCAATTCCAGATAGGTCCCAGGAGGCTATCTGAGCCTGAGTAACCTGCCTGGAGTCTCAGCACTTGGCTGCTGGGTCTTTTTTTGTTCTTGACAGGTTTTCCAGGGTTGGAATTATGCCCCTGGCCAGTGGTGACTGATAGTTCTCCCTGAGACCAACCTCTGCCCAGACTGTGAAAGGACAACTTGCATATCTTCTGTTGCTGAGTTCCTTCTGGAGAGAAACTACGGTTACCTTCTGTTGAGCTGCCTCGCCATAGATCTCCTGCCTCGATTGCCAGGTTTGTCTGTTCGCATACCTCTGGAAACTGTATTTCTCCTGTTTGCCTGAAGAGCCCGGCCCCCGATCTGTATCTTGTCCAGGACTGTAAGTGCTCACTGCTCCTGGAAGGTGTGATTTGTTCCCAGCACCCAAACCCTGGTCTGGTTTGGTCTATCACAGACTTCCTGAGCTCTGGAAGGAAGGCTTTCCTCCTGATATACTCAGAAGCCATTTCTGTCTTATTATCATCATCTGACAGAGTTTGGTCTGAAGCTAATGAACAATGACAACAATTGCTTCTTCTGCAGGCTAGGAAGCCTCACCTGCAATTGTGAAATGTCAAGCAGAAGTTGAGGTAAAAGAGGAACAAGAAAATTTTCTTCTGCCCATTGTACACTTCTAAGATTAAAGAAAGAGTCTAAAGCTTTTTGAAACCTCTGTACAAGGACATTTCAACCTCATTGTTTACAAAATCAAAGAAAGTAAACTAATTTTCATTCCTCAGATTCTTGAGAATTAGAAATGGTGAAGTTTTTTGGTAAATATGGCCAGCCAAAAAGGAAGTCTACTCAAATGCCCACTACGAGTAGAATGGTAATTCAGCTGTGGTGTATTTGTCCAATAGAACACTGCCTCAGTGAGAGTGAATAGTCTCCAAACACATGGATAAGTTTCAAAATATAATACGGAGTTAAAGAAATCAGATGCATACACAGTGTATGATTCAATTTATTTAAAGTTCAAAACAGGTAAATTTAATGCGTGGTATTAAAAATCAGGATGGTGGCTACCCTTGTGGCAATGGGGGCTGCCAGAAGGGAACAGAAGATGGGCTTTTGAGATTCTGGTCATGTTCTACTTTTTGATCTGGGAGCTGGTTACACATGGTTAGTTTGCAAAAATTCAATAAGCTGTCCACGTATAATATGAGCACTTCTCTCTCTCTCTCTCTCTCTCTCTCTCTCTCTCTCTCTCTATATATATATATATATATATATATATGTGTGTGTGTGTGTGTGTGTGTGTATATGTTATACTTCAATTAAAAGTTAAAAATAATTACATGGCCATGGAAACAAGCCTTGGATCAGAAACAAGCAAAGATTCACAGAATCCTAGTGCCAAAAATGAGCTCCCTCATTTTACAGAGGGGAATACTAAGTGGTCAGGAAGTCCAGTGAGTCACCCAAAGTCACACTAATGAGCCAGTGGTCAAGCCAGACATGGAGCCCGTGTCTGATTCTAGCCCAGGGCTCTTTCATTGATTGGGCATAAAGGAAGTTGGATTGTGGCAAAAAATTTAGTGATGTTTCCTTCTGTGCATCTTTTTTCCTTTTTGTTGGATTTACTTGAGATACAGAGTTTTGGGGAAATGTTTAGGCATAGTTACTTCTAACAAACACTTTTGTTGCTTAATGGGTATATGGAAAACAACACAGATAGACAGGGTCAGAGGTTGCATAGTGTCCTACTCTCAGAAGAGCCCTAACCTTGCTTTAATGCTCTGCCATCACCATCTTGAAAGTCTTACTAATTTTTAAGCAATGGGCCTGGAACTTTTCATTTTGCACTGAATTCTATAGATTATGTGGCCAGTCCTACAAATAAATGCTGCATTGTTTAATGAAGAAGGTATGCAAGTCAAATACTTGTACTCAAATCTATTTTAAATGAGCAAGGAGAATTTGTTATTTAAAGGTAAATTCTATACAACAATAAATCAGTTTTATACAAGGAATAATCCCCCAATTTATTTATTTTGCCACTAAATTTCAGTACCACCAGTTGACTCAAGACAAGAGATCACATGAAAAGTGAAATAATAAATAAGAATCCTGGAATAGTAGAATTTAAGAACTAAAAAAGGATCCTAGGGATAATCTCATCCATCCTCTATTTTGCAGATGGAGAAAATGAAGTCTAAAGCAAGGGGGTGATTTGCAAAGAAATTGACCATGTAGATAGAAACTAGTGAACCTTGATCTATATAGTCCAATATCTGAAGACACAGTGATACTTGAAAATTTCTGGCCAAGTTTCTGGAGCACTTTTTTTGCCATCCCAGAAAAAGCCACCTAGGCAGGACAAAACATTAAACTTTGCTTAATGCAGAATCATTTGCTGGAAAGAAAGCATACAGGGAAATTGATTATATTTTGTGTAAAATAATTACCTTAATGTAGCCTCTGCCATATACAATGTTCACTTGTAAGCAGAAATGGCTGTCAGAATGGCTCTGCCTCAAACACAGTTTGTTAGCATCAACTTGATCCAACTCGGTATCTTCCAGATGCAGATACTGGCATCAGACAAAGACTCTGGCATGTATCTGAGGCCCTGAGCGTCCATCTCAATTCACCTCTGTTTGTCTTCACTGAATAGATTTAGGCGACTGGGTCATGGCTATGTTCTGCTTTAGAGCAACGGCATTTCTGCAGCCAGAAAAACAAAAGAATGAATTAAAGTGTTTAAGTAGCTAATATGGGTCAGAAGTTCTGCTGGGTGACACAGATGCAAGGACATACCTCTGTTTCCAAGGAGTCCACAGCATGGCTGGGGAGGCAGACACAGTTGCAATTCAAGACGATGAGTATACAGCATAGATATGCAAAGGGTAGTGGGCTAGTGGGGCTACCTCGTGGAGCATGGCAGGAAAATGGAGAGCAAAGAAGGGCTTCATGCAAGAAATGAGTCTTAAAGGATATGTAGAAGTTAACCTGATGAAGGGCCCAGAAAGGAGATGACATGGCAAGTGGGGCAAAGAACTCCAGGGGAGAGTATGAATAAAGCCAGCAAAGGGTTTTCAACAAGAAGTTATTGGTGCTTCAGGATGATTACTGTGGACAATGGCTACAGGAAGGTGGAGGGAAGGATGACAGGCAGTGGTCCAGGTAAACAAAGGTGGGAGTCTGAGCTACGATGCCTGTCACCCCTTCTCAGAGAAATAGTCTGGAAACAGTGAGGAGGTAAAATTATGAGGGCTTAGTCATCTCTAGGTGTGGAGGCTAAGAGAAAAGACCAAGAGGCTCTATTTTGTTGCCTGGGTGATGTCGATATAGTAGTTTGGCTGACACAAGCGTTGAAGGAGGATAAGATTTAAAGAGAAGATTGAGGAATTCTTGGAGATGCTGAGTTTCAAGTGCCTATCAACCATTTAGGTGGATAATTTTCACCATTTCAAGCAGAAGCATTGAAATTTTTCTTATTTGCCTGAATATATGTTTGTGATAGTCAAATGAGTTCAAAGCTCACATGTGAATATAATATGCAATATTACACATCTTCATTTCAAGTGAGCATGCATATCATTAGGTATTCATTTTTAAACCATGTCTAGATATAAGAGAGTAGGGAAGTTAGAACACAATTATATTGCTAGAAGGAGCCGTAATAATCATATTCTACATAAAGCAATTTGAGCTCCCTGAGGCTAAGTGACTCTCCCAAGGTTTCCAGCTATTAAATGGAAGAGTTGAGACTCCAACCCAGTTCGCTATCCCCTCCCACTTTCTGCTTCATCAAGGTATTGAAGATGGCTGCAATTTACAGTCTAAAGTGTGCTATAGTGTGTTTACCATGCTAACCTCCCATTTGAAAAGAGAGCTTTGAAAAACTTCCTGTCTCCATTTTTGCTTCTCACCTAATCACAGATTTATTTATTCCCTCAACTTCAGGTCTCAACTTTATCCCCTGCTTGTTTTAAAGTTTCTTTGAGAAGTGCCTTTGAGAAAGTCCTCATGAGCTGGCGTTGATTCCATGGTTTCCAGTGAAGTGGGAAGCTCACTGAGCACCATCACTCATTGTGGTCTGTTTGCCTTCATTTACTCTCAGAGTGGGCAGAGTCTTGAATAGCTAGAAGCACAGGGAAAGGCAAAGCAGCAAAACACTGGGTCAGGTTTTCCTCCCAATCATACTTTTCAGAGAGAGAGAAACATGATCAGAATCCAAGACAAGCAGGTGTTCAGCATCTACTAAGAGGGCTTTTGAAGCAACTTTAAGGAATAGTTTTTAAATAGTTCTGCCTGGGCCTTCAAATCACCTCCCATCCTAAATTTTAAGAAGCAAAATTATTATGTCACTGCAAATGTGACGATTATTAGAGACAAGGCTTCAATTTACATCAAATGTATGTATTTCGAGGGTGCCTTATACCACCCATGTGTACAGCAGAGTTGTACCCAAATTATAGAAATCAGCACAGAAAATTTCTTTCTAAAATTATTATAGATTTATAGTAGAATTATTGCATGATGGGGCAAGTTTCTCTGTCCCTGGACCATCATTGCCTTGCTCTATACTTTCTCCTGATGGGGGAGGGAATTTTAAGCATGTCGAATCTAAGTTATACTTTGAGAAGTCAATATTGGCAAGAGGGAATTAGTCTGTCTTATTGCTCCACTTTGAAGAATGTAAAACCATGGGCAATAGTATTTGGCATCATGGCGACTACGGAGATTGAAGTAGGTGCCCTGGGCTGGGAGCAGGGGAATAGGAAGAAGCGGGGAAATTCATGGAAGGTAGGTAGCTTCCAGACCCATGAGCACAGACTTTGGTACCAAAGGTGAACTGTTAAAATATTTTGCCACCCTCTGCATTCTGAGTGTGTCCCAGATTTGTCTTAAGCAAGACTGGGTATTCTCTGGTGAAGAGCTGTGCTTTCGCACCCTCCCATGCCATGCAGCAGGGTTCCATTTGCTCTTGTGACATGTCGGTAAGGCCCATGGATGTTGAGTCTTTGGTCAGGAATGCAAAATAAATAATAAGAATTACACACTATTCTTCTTTTTTAATTCATGTCTTTTTTTTATTATTATTATACTTTTAAGTTTTAGGGTACATGTGCACAATGTGCAGGTTAGTTACATATGTATACATGTGCCATGCTGGTGTGCTGCACCCATTAACTCATCATTTAGCATTAGGTATATCTCCTAATGCTATCCCTCCCCGCTTCCCCCACCCCACAACAGTCCCCAGAATGTGATGTTCCCCTTCCTGTGTCCATGTGTTCTCATTGTTCAATTCCCACCTATGAGTGAGAACATGCAGTGTTTGGTTTTTTGTCCTTGCGATAGTTTATTAAGAATGATGATTTCCAATTTCATCCTTGTCCCTACAAAGGACATGAACTCATCACTTTTTATGGCTGCATAGTATTCCATATGTATATGTGCCACATTTTCTTAATCCAGTCTATCATTGTTGGACATTTGGGTTGGTTCCAAGTCTTTGCTATTGTGAATAGTGCTGCAATAAACATACACACACTATTCTTTTTTGACCATCTACTCTGTGCTGAACACCATCCTAGGTATGTAGCTTGACCAACATCTCAAAGCCAGGACAGTGGTACCTAGACAAGAACCCAGGACATAGGGTACTATTTCAGAGCTCTTTCCACTGTACTATATTGCCTAGTGTTTGTGGTCAAGTATGGGGCTGTGTGTGCACATAGGGATGGAAAACTGTTGAGATCCCAAAGAATGAATCTTAGATGGTGAAGTTCCAGCCATATGATAAGAGTGGGATTTCGTCTGTTTCTCTGCAAATAGTGCCAATAGAAATGCTACCCTGCCTAGGTTAAGGATGTGTTATAGAATGTGGTTGTTAGGAAGGCTTAAGACAATAAATGGTAAAGAATCTGGCACAGTGCCTGGCACACAGAGGTAATTAATTAATAAATGAAAGTATGATTTCTAGAGGGCCTCACGCTGCGTATTTGAAGTACTCCTTCCTATTGTGGTGCCTCTGGAAAGCCATAAAACATAGTAATTATAGCTTATACTTATAGCATAGTACATAGAACTTATAGCTCATCTTCCTTGGGTAGCCTGGGGATGCCCTGGGTTTGGAGGCCTCTCCATGAAGGGATTTTTGGCTGGTTCTGCCAGGCCCAAAGAGTTCATCTTGTAGGTCCTGTCCAATGTTTCTCAGTCATAGGTTCTGTTTTTCACTAATGATACTTCCACCCAAGACCTGGAACAGAAAGCTTACTTCCAAATGCTACTTTTTAGATCCAGATTACAGATGGAGCAGAGTTTTTCTGACCCTGACATTGTGCAGAGATCTGTTCTGGCTGCTTGCCTGCCTATGTCACTCTGCTTCCTGCTTAGGCATCAAAACCTCAGACCTTAACAGGCAACTAAGACTTATGCCTGGAGGGCTTCACAGCTCTAACTCCCACCTGCTATACTATCTAAAGACTCCTTTGTTTCTGATTCCTGGGAATTTCCCTTTCTTGTTTGCATGTGTATTAAAGAAAAACTGCTAAGCTCTGAGCATTCAGCCCATTTATTGAATGACCCCAGGCCCACTGGAAATTCACTCAACCAGTTGTGGACTTCTTTGAAACCAGATTTCCTTTTATTACAGAAAAGGAAAGGAAGAATTTACATTCTGCCTCATGGGCCAACCGGAGACCTGAACTCAGAATCTTGCCTTCTGGGTGTATGTCCTTCTTTTTGCCATATCCAGGTTCTTTCCATTTCTGCTTGGAGAGACCTGCTGAAACCACACTTGAGGGAGGCAATGTGGCTCTCCCTGACCAGGTACAGAATAAATCCAGCTTTGTCTCAGACCATGTTTGGTGGTCTGTTGTTACTGTCCAACACAAATCTATTTTTAATTTTAAAAAAATATGAACAAATATAGTTATATATATAACTATATAAAAAGCTATAACTATATCTATCTATCTATACACACACACCAGCCTTTTTGTTTTTTTGGAGCAGTCTATTTGTTTATTTGGGGATGGGGGTGGCTTATACGTCTTTAAGTCTGTCACCTTGTCTAGAGGTCTGAATAACTTCAGCATTTGCAATGTGGCTCACATTGTAATAACTCCACAAAGGTCCTCAAGGTCAGGAGAGTGTGGACAAACACAAATGAATAAGGAGGGAACACTAAAAGTGTTTTTCCTTGATGTAGAAAGGCTCTCAGTGCCCAGGCCAAGGGCACAGCTTTGCTCTTCAACCCAAAGTTGCAGAGGCAGAAGGGCCACTTTCTGTGTAGTCAGGAATCTGGGTTCCTACCATCAGCAGCCATATGGGTTTGGGAACATTCGTCAGCTAGAGAACTCACTGAGATGGAAAAAGAAACTTTTCACAGGACAGCCCAAAATATTTCTTGAACTTATGGAAAACTGGTAGTGACTTTCTCCATGTGCCAACTGCTGACATGCATTTTTGTTTAAAGATATACCAGGTAGAAAAATAGTGAAATGTTTCAAGGAATACCTCAGCTGATGAGTGTTGGCTGTTCTGGGGGCTCACAGAGAGCAGTGTAGGGATTGAGGTATAATTTTTGATGTAGAAGAAAAGATTTGGAACAGTACTGACACACAGTAGGCATGACATAAACTTAGCTATCATTATCATGTACAGTAGAATGATAAAATCCCACAGGTTGGTTTAGCTGAGGCACTGATAGCAGTAGGTGTCAAGTACTCTCACATTCCAACGTGAGTCACTAAACCAGCTAGAACATCCATGTAGACCATCCATGTTGCAAAGGGAGTGGCTGGAGCCTGGTTCTGCCAGAGTCAGGGAGGTTGAAGATTAAGTGAGGGAGAACAAGTATTTCTTTAGAGAGAGTTGTCAGAGGTCCATGGAGTTTCCACTTTCCAGGGAATAGAAGTATTTCTCCATCACTGTGAACCAAATGAGAAGGATATGTCAAGCAAGCTACCCAGAGAGCTTACCCTGCATCTTCTCGAATTTAGGGATATGAGGACAGGTGCCTGATACACATCTGGAAAAATCTATAGGTGGGAGGCTGTAGCTAAAGAGACCAGAGCTGAAAAATAGAGGCATAGGGAGGGAGGTCACTTTTTGGGGGGAAGGTGGGAGGCAAAGATATGGAACCCATGGAAGGGATCTTGCTGTCAGTTGTCTTGAAAAGGACACTTCCCAAGAGATCATCCTTTCTGGGGTGAGGTGACCTGGGCAGAGAGAAAGCTGGAGTACTGCTACATGCAGAAACTGAGGGTGGAACGGGAACCAGAAATGGCTGTCAGGGAGGGACAATATCACACCAGGGAATTACAGTTGAAGCCATCTCCCATCTACCCCCGTGTGTGTGTTGTGTGTTGTATGTGTGTGGTGTGTGTCGTATGTGCATGTGTGGTGTGTTTGTGTGGTGTGTGTGGGGTGTGGTGTGTGGTAGTAGTGGGTGCGTGGTGTGTGTGTGTGGTATGTGTGTGGTGTGGTGTGTGCGTGTGGTGTGTAGTGTGGTGTGTGTGGTGTGTGCATGTGTGGTGTGTGTATGGTGTGGGGGTGTGTGTGTGTGGTGTGTGGTGTGTGTGGTGTGGTGTGGTGTGTGTGTAGTGTGTGGTGTGTGTGTGGTGTGTGTGTGTGGTGTGTGTGTGGTGTGTGTATGGTGTGTGTGTGTGGTGTGTGTGATGTGTGGTGTGTAGTGTGTGTGTGGTGTGTGATGTGTGTGTGTGGTGTGTGTGTAGTGTGTGGTGTGTGTGTGATGTGTGTGTAGTGTGTGGCATGTGTGTAGTGTGTGGTGTGTGTTTGTGTGCTGTGTGTGTGTGCTATGTGTGTGGTGTGTGTGTGTGGTGTGTGTAGTGTGTGTGTGTGCATGTGTGTGCGTGTGTGTGTGTGTGTGTGTGTGTTGGCAGTGTCTCTAAGGAATTTACAACTCAGAGGCAAAAGATTTAGCATTTATCATTTGGCTATCCCTCCTACCAGGGGGCATCAGTACCAGACTCCAATTGTACCCATCAGGAAACGTCTTTTCTGCTCCTTTTCTAGCTTCATCTTACTCCCTGGGGACCCCTGGAGCAGCACTGTGGGTGGAGGTAGGAAGACTATAAGATATAGAGAAATAATGGTGAAGCCAATGCTATCCCCACTCTGTTCCACACGGCAGGATTTCAAGCCTGCTTTAGACCTAATGGAGGAGAAGTTTTAAATTAGATGAGAGTTTAAAGTCCACAAAATGGGATTCCAGGGGCAGTTATGAAAGAAATTAGTTTATAGTTATTGCACTTTATCAAGTTCAATGGTCTTAAGTCAGTTCTAGCAGCAGAGCCTGAGATAGGTATTCAAGTGCACAGTATTGAGAGAGTGCTTAATGCTCTCAGGAGAAACTTGAAGGAGAGGGAGTGAACCAGGATAGGGCTGGGGAAGAGGCTAGGCAAAGATGTGGTCTCAGGTAAAGACTCATCTTGGTCTGATCCACGAGGGACTGTGAAGCATAAATAACACCACAAAGATGTCCCACTTTGTCAGTCTGTTGGGGTGAGGTGGGGATGGAGAGTAACCTCCCCAGTGAGTTAGCTCCCATCAGCCATGGGCAATCCTTCAGACAGGGGGCAAGCTTTGAACTATTAACAGTGAACACTCAAAGCAGCTGAGAGATGGGTGCTCCAGCCCAGTAAAAGGGACCTAGATGGGCACCAACAGTGACTATTACAGCACTTTATTTCAAAGCCCATTCCATAGCCTTTTCTTTTCAAGAACTTTAGCAGTCCCCTTGAAATGTTTTTATGTGCAGTTGACACCTACAGTAGAGTCTTAGTCTTGGGAAATGCTCTGTCAAAATATGTGTTGAGGAAGAGAAAGTTCCCCTGCCCAAATTGTGCCACCGCATTGGGCCTGATGTGTAATAGCACACTTCTTTTTGGAATTTGGTGTGTTCATTACAATAATCGTAATGTAACATAGCACACACTTAAGATTTCCTCTTTCCTAGAATAAAAAACTATGTGAACTAAAATCTTATGCACCCCTAACACTGTGAGGTGCAATACAAGGGCACAAATGGAGGCTGCCTGCATACCCTATATCCAGTTACCTAAAAGGTAAAAACCATGCCAACAAACTGATAGATAAAATAAGTTGTATCCCACTACATTTATATATATATATATATATATATATATATATATATATATATATGCCTTCATAACAACCTGGTCAAGTTTGAGTTCATAATTTTCAGATTCCTTAAAATTTCATATTAAAATAATATGGCAGAGGAGAGAGGGCCCCAGCCTGTGGCTCACTGACACTGTACTTCCTATCCCTGCTTCCATTTTGTCCTGTGAGCACAAGCATATTAGACTGCTTGGAATGCCATGACAAAATGCCATAAACAGGGTGGCTTAAAAAGAGAACTTTATTGTCTCACATATAAATGACTATTGTCACTGTAAGCCACTAAGTTTTATGGTGATTTTTTAATGCAGAATTAGATAACTAATAAAGGAGAGAAGTACAACAGAAGGGCCATCCCAGAACCCTCTAAAATGTGGGGCCTAGGACAGGGGCTACTTTTGCTTGGAGCTAAAGGCAGTGCTGACTATAGGATATCAATTTTGTTTCTTTAGGGACCTGGGGATTTCCTAGGGAAGGGTGGGTTTATTTACACAAAAGAAAAAGCAAAACCAGACAAAGACACAACAAAAAAAGAAAACTAAAGGCCAATGTATCTGATGAACATTGATGCAAAAATCCTCAACAAAATACTAGCAAACTGAATTCAACAACACATTAAAAAGATTATTCTTCATGACCGAGTGGAATTCATCCCACATATGCGAATCAATAAATGTGACACATCTTATCAACAGAATGATGGACAAAAATCATATGATCATTTCAATGATGCTGAAAAGGCATTTGATAAAATTCAACATCCTTTCGTGATAAAAACTCTCAAAAAACTGGATATAGAAGGAACAGACCTCAACATGATAAAAAAAATTCATGTGCAATAAACCTACGGCTAGCATCATACTGAACAGTGAAAAACTGAAAGCCTTTCCTCTAAGATCTGGAACACAACAAGGGTGCCCACTTTCACCATTTTTATTCAACATAGTACTAGAAGTCTTAGCCAGAGCAATAGCAATTAGACAACAGAAAAAATAATAAAAGGGCATCCAAATTGGAAAGGAAGAAGTCAAATTATCCTTGTTTGCAGATGATATGATCTTATATTTAGAAAAACCTAAGGACTGCATCAAAAACTATTATAACTGATAAATAAATTCAGTGAAATTGCAGGATACAAAATCAACTTACAAAGATCAATAGTATTTCTATATGCCAATAATGATCAATCTGAAAAAGAAACTGAGAAAGTAATCCCAAATTTAGCTACAAATAAAATAAAATCCCTAGGAATAAACTTAATCAAAGAAGTAAAGATCTCTACAATGAAAACCATAAAACATTGATGAAAGGAATTAAAGAGGACATAGAAAAAATAAAAAGATATTCCCTGTTCATGAACTGGAAGAATCAATATTGTTAAAATGTACATACTACCCAAAGCAATCTACAGATTCAAGGAAATCCCTATCAAAATACCCATGATATTCTTCACAGAAATAGAAAAAATAATCCTAAAATTTCTATGGAACCACAGAATACCCAGAATAGCCAAACCTATCCTAAGCAAAAAGAACAAAGTTGAAGGAATCACCTTACCTGACTTCTATTATACCCAGAGCTAGAGTAACCAAAACAGCATGGTGCTAGCATGAAAACAGACATAGAGACCAATGGAACAAAATAGAGAACCCAGGAATAGATCCATGCATTTACAATCAACTCATTTTTTATAAAGGTGCCAAGAACATACATTGGGAAAAGGACAGTCTTTTCAATAAATGGTGCTGGGAAAACTGAGTATCTGTATGCAGAAGAATGAAACTAGACCCCATCTCCCACCATTTACAGAAATCAAATACAGATGGATTAGAGACTTAAATCTAAGACCTTAAACTATGAAACTACTACAAGAGAACATTGGAGAAACTCTCTGGAACATTGGACTTGGCAAAAATTTCTTGAGTAATGACCCACAAGCACAGGCAACCAAAGCAAAAATGGACAAATGGGATCACATCAAGTTAAAAAGCTTCTGCACAGCAAAGGAAACAAAGTGAAGAGAGAACCCACAGAATGAGAGAAAATATTTATAACCTACCCGTCTGATAGGGGATTAATAATCAGAATATATAAGCAGCTCAAACAAGAGGAAAAAACAAATAATCCAGTCCAAAAAATGGGCAAAAGACACTTTGGGAAAATGAGGCGGGTGGATCACGAGGTCGGGAGATTGAGACCATCCTGGCTAACATGATGAAACCCCGTCTCTACTAAAAATACAAAAAATTAGCTGGGCGTGGTGGTGGGCACCTGTAGTCCCAGCTACTCGGGAGGCTGAGGCAGGAGAATGGCGTGAACCCGGGAGGCAGAGCTTGCAGTGAGCCGAGATCGCACCACTGCACTCCAGCCTGGGCAAAAAAAGGCAAAAGATTTGAACAGACGTTTCTCAAAAGAAGACATACAAATGGCCAATAAGGATATGAAAAAGTTATCAACATCACTAATCATCAGAGAAATGCAAACCAAAGCCACTATGAGATATCATCTCACCATAGTTAAAATGGCTTGTATCCAAAAGGCAGGCAATAATGAATGCTGGCAAGGATGTGGGGAAAGGGGAACCCTCATACACTGTTGGTTGGAATGTAAGCCACTGTGGAGAACCGTTTGGATGTTCTCTAAAAAACTAAAAATAGAACTACCATGTGATCCAGCAATCCCATTGCTAGGTATAAACCCCCCGAAATAAAATCAGTATATTGAAGAGATATCTACACTCCCACGTTTATTGCAGCACTATTCACAATAGCCAAGATTTGGAATCAATCTAAGTGTCCATCAACAGAAGAATGGATAAAGAAAATGTGGTGTGTGTGTGTGTGTGGGTGTGTGTTATGTATATATATATATATGAAATATTATTCGGCCATAGAAAGAGTGAAAGCTTGTCATTTACAACAACATTCATGGAACTGGAGGACATTATGTTAAGTGAAATAAGCCAGGCACCAAAAGACATATATCACATATTCTCACTCATATGTGGGAACTAAAAAATACATTGAACTCATAGAGAGTAGAATAATGGTTACCAGAGGTTAGGAAGGGCAGTGGGAAGAGGGGGATAATGAGGGCATGGTTAATGGGCACAAAAATACAGTTATAGAAGGAATAAGATCTAGTGTTTGATAGTATAATGGGGTAACTATAGTTAAAAACAATTTATTGTATATTTCAAAATAACTAAATGAGTGAAATTGGAATGTTTCTATCACACAGAAATGATACATTCTTGAGGTGGTGGATACCCCAATTACCTTGATTTGACCATTATGCATTGTATGTTTGTATCAAAATATCACATGTACCCCATAAATATGTACAACTAATAGATATCCATAATAATAATAATTTTTTAAAAAAAGGAACTTAAAGCACTCATTAGGGTGTTTGAGATCAGGAGACTTTTCTTACCAAAACTATAACAAAAGAGCCTTTTATCTAGAGTACACAAATAAACTAAAATGTAATGAGACATTTATTTGCTTGTTTGTATAAATACACCAAAATATACGCATTGGAATAGTCAAAGCGGAAGGCAATTTACTTAAGCCAGTGATGCTGTCGGTTGGTTTTCAAAAATGCCTGTGAAACTTCTCTTTCGGAATCACCCATGAAGCTGGATTATGAGCTCCCATGAAACCAGACTCATCACTCAAACTAAGACTTGGTTTGTGACCCCAGACAGCGTTTCCCAGCATGATCACCCAACCTACTCAGCAGACTGCTCCAAATGGCTTAGAACTGTTTTCAAAACTCACATCCTCCCTGTGAGGATACATGCTGTCAGAATTATCTTTCTAAAACACATCTCAGATCATGTGCTTCACTAGCTCTCAGTTGCATAGATAATTAAGCCTCAACTTCTCAGCCTGATTTTCAAAACTTTATTATACAACCCCCACTCAGCCTTCCAGTTCTGTCATCGACCAGCAGTCTCCTATGAACACACGATGCCCTCTCTAGTTACCAATGAAAGGTACCATTTACTGAGCTTTTATTATGTGCCCCACACTGCACTAAAAGCTTTAAACAATATCTCATTTTATCCTTATAGGATTTTGTAGGATAAATATTATCTCTATAGTACAAATAATAAAACAATGATTGCTAGCTGTTTTTATAGTGCTTACAATGTGCTAAGGTATTGTTCTATAGAAATATGTGTGCCACATATGTAATTTTACGTTTTTCATAGCCACATTAAAAAGTAAAAAGAAACAAGTGAAGCTGATTTTAATAAAATATTTTGTCAAGGAGCATGTAATTAACATAAAAAATCATTAATGAGATATTTCACATTTTCTTCCCTTTTTTTTGGCACTAAGTCATTAAAATTGGTGTGTATTTTACACCTATAACATATCTCAATTTGGATGCTAAACTTTCACTGGAAATATTTGAATTCCAATGAAATCAACACAATAAATACTGTGTTTATATTTTTAAAAATGCACGGTAAAAAAAAAAGTAGATTACACACCCAAGTTGTTACAAACATATTGGGAAGAATCAAGTAACAAAAAGTCATTTCCTTTTCTATTCTCATCCAAATTGTTAAAAATTCCTTGGATTTAACATTTTAGATTTCACTTTCAATCAATTAAAAGAGTTAAAATTTTAGTTTCTAATGTTGCACTAGCCACATTTCAAGCCTCAGTAGCCACATGTGGCTGTGGCTGCCATGCTGGACAGCACAGCTCTAAGCACTTTACTACTATGAGGTAGGTGCTGTTATTATCTTCACTTTATTCTCAGCAAACTAACAAAAGAACAGAAAACCAAGCACCACATGTTCTCACCGCATTGTTCAAGTGGGAGTTGAACAATGAGAACATATGGACACAGGAATGGGAACATCACACATCGGGGCTTGTCGGCAGGGGTGGGGGGCTAGGCGAGGGACACCGTTAGGCGAAATACCTAATGTAGATGATGGGTTGATGGGTGCAGCAAACCACCATGGCACATATACATCTATGTAACAAACCTACACGTTCTGCACATGTATCCCAGAACTTAAAATATAATTTAAAAAAAAGGAAAGAAAAGAAAAGAAAAAATAAAATGGAGGCACAGAAAGTCGTAACTTGCATTAGTGCACTCAGCTGACGGACTGAATGGTTTCATTTGTCAGAATGCTTTCATTTGCTCAGAATGGTTAATTTGTCCAAGGTGACTTTGCTAATAAGGGTTAGAGCCAGGAGTTGAACTCAGGATTAAGTTCGTAGCCTAAGTTTTTGCCATGGTGCTCATTGCTCTACACATTTAATTGCTCGCTATTATCCTAAAATCCTTAATTGATGCTGGTCTTTTTTGTCAGACTGTTACCTCTGTCTGTATTGCCTTGCAAGTTCCATTTTAAGTATCATTCATTCACCCATTTATTCACTCAGTAAGTTAATTGCTTTTTCCAGCAAATACTGTTAGCCATTTTTCAAATATCCGCCACATAGACAATAGCCGTGAACAAAACAAGGCAGACCCGGCCTCTGCCCACACAGAACTTTTAGTTTAACAGCACTTCTCAAACTTAAATCTCCAGACCCTATAACACTCTAAACATTGTTGAGGACCCCCAAGAGCTTCTGGCTATGTAGGTTATAGCTATTAATATTTATTGTAATAGAAATTAAAACTAGGACATTTTAAAAACATTTATTTATCCATTCATTTAAAGATAACATAATATGGCCGGGTGTGGTGGTTCACACCCATAATCCCAGCACTTTGGGAGGCTGAGGCAGGCGGATCACTTGAGGCCAGGAGTTTGAAACCAGCCTGACCAACATGGTGAAACCCCATCTTTACTAAAAAACACAAAAATTAGCCAGGCGTGGTGGCACGCACCTGTAATCCCAGCTACTCGGGAGGCTGAGGCAGGAGAACCACTTGAATTCGGTAGGCAGAGGTTGCAGTGAGCTGAGATAGTGCCACTGCACTCCAGCCTGGGTGACAGAGTGAGACTCTGTCTCAAAAAAAATAAATAAATTTAAAAAAGGAACATAGCATAATAAACCCATTATATGTAAACACAAAGAGTGTATGATTATGAAAATATAACTATATTTTCCAAGACAAAAATTAATTAGGAGAGTGGCATTGTTTTCCAACTTTGCTAATCTCTTTAATGTGTGACTTAATAAAAGACAGCTGGATTCTCATCTCTGCTTCTGTCTTTAATCTGTTGCAATATGTTGATTTGGTTGAAATGTATAAGGAAAATCTGGCCTCAACCAGATATGTAATTGGAAGAGAGAGCAGTGGTCTTAACCCATTTATGCTGGAGGTTGCAAATTTTTGAATTGCAGACATGTATGAAAAATCAGACCTTGGTGATGACCCTGAGCAGTAGGATATAAATAACTGCCACATGCTTAGCGTTCCAATAATGGAACACTAGGCATAAATGGGTTAATAGGCTCTTAACTGTGAAAATTGTTTTTTTGCTGCTATTCTGAAACTCAACAAGTGATTGTTTATTAAAGTTTAGCTACAATATGGAATCTGAAACCATATCAATTTCATATATTAAAGTTACATTAAAATTCATTAGTCTACCTTGCACATTCAATGAATTTTATTATTATTACTATTATTTTGAGATGGAGTCTCGCTCTGTCACCCAGGCTGGAGTGTAATGGCGTGATCTTGGCTCACTGTAACCTCCGCCTCCTGGGTTCAAGCGATTCTCCTGCCTCAGCCTCCCGAGTAGCCAGGATTACAGGCATGAGCCACCACGCCCGGGCCTCAGTGGATTTTATATATGCTTTGGTAACAACATGCATTGTTCATTTGGAAAACATTGATTCACTGAGTTATACAGCTCTTTCAAATGTTGACACATTTCATTATTTATTTAAGAATCACATTCACAGCTGGGCACGGTGGCTCATGCCTGTAATCCCAGCACTTTGGGAGGCCGAGGTGGGCGGATCACGAGGTCAGGAGATCGAGACCATCCTGGCTAACACGGTGAAACCCTGTCTCTACTAAAAACACAAAAAATTAGCTGGACATGGTGGCACGCACCTGTAGTCCCAGCTACTTGGGAGGCTGAGGCAGAAGAATCGCTTGAACCTGGGAGGTGGAGGTTGCAATGAGCCGAGATTGCGCCACTGCACTCCGGCCTGGGTGACAGAGCAAGACTCCATCTCAAAAAAAAAAAGAAAAAAAGAATCACATTCACTAATATCAGCACTGATCAAATCAGAAAAATCTTCAAGTATCAGGAGGCTGTCAAGCTTGTACAGGCAGGTACAATTTTTCCGAAATTCCGATTTTTATTTGAATGCTCAAATTTTACCATTGGCAACATATACTGTGAGTTGTTTTTCTTGAAGTAACAGGCTCATTTTGTTCATTTTTGAGAAAATATCTGCCAAATAGTCAAGTCTGAACAATCGTAGTTTGTCTGATGTTCTTTCAAGTAAAAATGGTGCTCCTTGAGGGAAGCATCTAGCTCAGCTCACAAGCCAAACAGTCATCAAGAGCTTTTCCCTGAGAGGACCATTGGGTTTCAATGAGCAGCAAAAATGCTTAATGCATACATTCCCATTCTGTCAAGCAGAATATTAAACAGATACATATTCAAGGGCAGTAATTTAACAAAATTAATCATTTTTAGTGCTTAATCAAGGGCATTCTTAAGTAAAACTAGCATTTTTTCTCATAGTGAATAAGAATACAATGACTAATGGTAAGTTTATTGCCACTGTCTGTTTTTGCTAATGCACCAGCAGTATTTTTACCCACCATTGCTTTGTACCATCAGTGAAAATATCAATCCAGTGAACAAGGTAAATAACATTTTAATATTATCATGAAACTAGTTTTGACCTCATGAATCCCTTGAAATGATCTCAGGATCCCAGGAATCTAAGTACCACACTTTCAAGACCAGTGGTCTAGAAGGAAAAATAATTGGACAAGTACATGGGTAAGCTTGTTCACTCCAAGGGGTCAAGGAAGTCCTCATGGATAAAGTGATATTTAAGGTTAGACCAGAAATATATGTATCAGTGACCCAAGTGAACAAAGGGCAGGGTAGGGAAGGGGAGTGTCAGGCAGACATAGAGGTGTGTCTGTAAAAGCTGGAAAAGAGAGGCAGGCTGCAGGAGCTATAAGAGGCTCATTTGGCTGGGACTTGAAATGTCAGAAGGAGAGCAGTTAATGATGAGGCCAGAGAGATGGCAGGGCCAGCCAGCAAACAGTCTTGCAAATACATTGAGGGCATCACATCACCTCTGTTTACTCCTGAAAATATTTAACCTGAATCTAATCATGAGGAGACAGCCAGACAAATCCAATTTGAGGACATTTTGCCAAATAATCTGACTGGACTCTTAAAAAATGTCAAGGTATCAAAAGACAGAAAAAGTCTGGGAAACTGTTCTAAATTAAAGGAGACTACGGGAGACAGGACATCTAAAAGCATTACATAATTCTTTATTGGATCTTGGATTTAAAAAAAAACACTGTCTTAGTCCATTTAAGCTATAACAAAGCACCTTAGACTGGGTAACTTATAAACAACCCAAATTTATTGCTCACAGTTCTGGAGGCAGGGAGGTCCAATATTAAGGTGCCAGCAGATTGATGTCTGGTGAAGCCTTGCTCTCTGTTTTATTGATGGTACCTTTTGTGTTCTCACGTGATGAGGGACAAGGCAGTTCCTTTCAACCTCTTTTGTAAGAGCACGAATCCCAGTCATGGAGGCTCTACCCTCTTGACTTAATTACCTCCTAAAGGCCCCACCTCTTAATACTACCACATTGACAATTAATTTCAACATATGAATTTAGGGGACATATTCAGACCATAACACCCAACAACAACACCACCAATAACTATGAAGGACATTGTTTTGGGACAATTAGGGAAATTTGAATATGGACTACATATTAGATAATGCATATATCAAGGTTACATTTTCTAAATGTGTGGTTGCATTTTGGTTATATAGGAGAATGCCTTTGTTCTAGGGGGATAAATGCTGAAGTATTTAGGGATGAAGTATGACGTCTGTAAATAGTTTAACTCTCAAATATTCATCAAAAACTGTATGTACATACAGAAACAGAGAGGACAATAAGACAAATGTAGCAGAATGTTAACAATTGATGAAATTTGATGAAAGCCCTAAGGCATTAACTTTACTACTCTTGCAAATCGTCAGTAGGTTTGAAAATTTTTCAAAATAAAATGTGGGAATATAATGAATTTGGGCTTTATTTTAGAATCAAAAGAAGCTATGGAAAGATGGTAGCCAATAATCAGGATTTGTAAATAAGGGATCAAAACCAGATTCAAACAGGAAAGTTACTAACTTGTGATCAGACATGATGGATGATGCTGGTCCCCAGATTTCAGAATCCAGATCCCCTCAGGTCCTACCACTCTGCTCCCAACTTTTCTCTCATTCCTGTTTCTCTGTAACACTTGGCCTCATTCTTTCTAATTACAGACAAGAGTCCTCTGCCAGGGAACAGTGGCCTCAGGCGAGTCTGAGATTGCTTTTTTACTGTCTCTGAACCCTACCTCCACTAACAGATTCTATTTGAGGTTAACCAATTGCCAAGAAAGAAAGCATTCTCAATGGTCCTGGGGGGGTCCATAGGTTGCCCTTTGACCAATCACTGAGGTCACTGATGTGAGCGACAATAATTGCTTCTCTCTGGTCCTGCACTTGCCCCGTGAATCAGTTTCTCCTCTGAGAAGCAGATGCCAAGGAAGGATTAGATTTACAAGAAATGTATTGGGGGAAATGTTAGGAAAGGATAGACTGGAAGGGAGCTGGAGTAGGCAGGGAGAGCCTTCAGACTGTGATGCAGGCTTGACATTTGGGAAAGAAGAGAGGAAAGGAAGGACTAAGTAGGAAGAGCCTCAGGCCACAGCACAGATCTAAGAAAGTCTTGTCTGGGCTAATGGCGAGTGCCCACAAAATGACGGTCCATTGGAAAAGCACTACATCAGGTAGGAATGTCCTACTTCTAGACCCCCACCATGCTCATTGGCTGGGAGCAGCTTTGGGGAAGCATGGTCTTGATATAAACACCATGGTCCATCCCAAGATGCAGCATCTGGGGCCTGTAAATTGACTATACCACCACTCCTCCAGTAGATATTTGAATTGCACTCAGAAGGAGATTTGAATTGCACACTTCACAGTTGCCACACTCTGTGGGTTAGAAAGGGAATGGATACCGGGTATATATCCA
Organism: Homo sapiens; assembly: GCF_000001405.40. Taxonomy (NCBI): domain Eukaryota; kingdom Metazoa; phylum Chordata; class Mammalia; order Primates; family Hominidae; genus Homo; species Homo sapiens. Next base: position 132,893,834 of record NC_000003.12, read on the forward strand.
AGTCAAAAGAAATCATTTTACCAAAAAGGTAAATGTACTCGATTGTTCATTGCAACACTGTTCACAGTAGCAAAGACAGGGAATCAATATAAGTGCCCATCAGTGGTGGACTAAATAAAGAAAATGTGCTACATATATACCATGGAACACTATGCAGCCATAAAAGGAATGAAATCATGTGCTTTACTGCAGCATGGGTGTAGTTGGAGGCCATTATACTAAGTGAATTAGTACAGGAACAGGAAACCAAATACTACGTGTTCTTACATATAAGTGGGAGCTAAACATTGAGTACACATGGACATAAAGATGAAAACAGTAGACACTGGGGACTACTGGTGGGGAGGATCGAAAGGGAGACCAGGGTTGAAAAACCACCTATTGGGTACTATTGTCACTACTTGGGTGATGGAATCATTTGTACACCAAACCTCAGTGACGTGCAATGTACCCATGTAACAAACCTGCACATGTACCCCCTGAAACTAAAATAAAAGTTGAAAAAAAACAAAGGGAATGGGGAAAATGTAAGAAGAGATGTTGGACAAGAAAAAGCTTGAAAGTGTATTTGTCCTGGAGGGAAAGAATCCTGCCTTTTCTTTGACTTTCAGTCTTCAGTTCTTTGAATCATTATATTCTTACACAGTAATAGATGTATAATAATTAAATTTATATTCTGGAGATGATCACAAAATAAGAGGTATAAAAGATTTTATTTAATAATTGTAATGTAGCTTAGTCTAGCTGGAGTGATTCCTTTGAAGGTAAAAATGCATTTGATGTGTTTCTGGTGTGTTAAAGATTTGCTTGTCTTAGTACCCTAACTTCCTATGTTTTCTTTTTCCTTTTCCTTTTTTTTTTTTTCCGAGATGGAGTTTTGCTCTTGTTGTCCAGGCTAGAGTACAATGGCTCGATCTTAGCTCACTGCAACCTCTACCTCTCGTATGTTTATTGCAGCACTAATCACAATAGCAAAGACTTGGAACCAACCCAAATGTCCATCAACGATAGACTGGATTAAGAAAATGTGGCACATATACACCATGGAATACTATGCAGGCATAAAAAGGATGAGTTCATCTCCTTTGTAGCGACATGGATGAAGCTGGAAACCATCATTCTTAGCAAACTATCGCAAGGACAGAAAACCAAACACCACATGTTCTCACTCATAAGTGGGAATTGAACAATGAGAACACTTGGACACAGGATGGGGAACATCACATGCCAGGGCCTGTGGTGGGGTGGGGGGATGGGGAGGGATAGCATTAGGAAAAATACCTAATGTAAATAACGAGTTAATGGGTGCAGCAAACCAACATGGCACATGTATACCTATGTAACAAACCTGCACGTTGTGCACATGTACCCTAGAACTTAAAGCATTAAAAAAAAAAGTCAAAATAGTGGGGAGGAGGGGGAGGAGTGAGTGGGAGGGAGTGGCTGGATTAGGAGTGGCTCCTGTGCGCAGGCAGTGACCTAGTTTTAAATCTGGATTATGGTCACATGGGTGTATTCACCTTGTGAAATTTCATTGAATTTTACATGTATGTAAAATTATTTAGGCACTTTTCTGCATGTACACTTGAATCTTTCAAAGTCTATTAAAATTATGGATCAGGAGTAATTAGGATTGTGGAGTCACCATGGAGTTTGAGAAATTAGTCTTTACATAATTGCTCAGAATTGACATGGTGGATAGTTTTCGGCCCAGCTGTGGGACAATAGAGACTTTTTCAGCATAAAGCATGTATCAGCTGTGGGACTATACAGGAGTTAATGGCAGAGCCACTGGCATTTTAAAGATGTGCTTCATGTTAAAACCCTTTTCATGTACGTTCATTCACATGAGTTCCACACAACAACCCTGAGAGTAGCAATTGCCATCACAGCAATCTCCAGGTAAGAAAACCAATACTCAGAAAATCAAGTGATTTATTTAATGTGTCTTAGCTAGTAAGCAGTGGATTCAGAGTTAAAGCCCAGGGAAGTTGGCCCCAAAGCTTGTGTTGGCTCATCTTCCCCACCCTGCCTCCAGATATTTTAGTAATTGGCAACTTCCCCTCACTCACATAATATTGTATCTAGGTAGCACGGTTCTGGTAATTATCTATACATTTCTATCATAGGGAAAAAATTCTATAATTTTCTTGGTGCTTACTCTGTTTACCAATTAGATTTGTCTTTATTGTTTTAATTTTTAACTCGGTACTTTTTTTAGAATTAGTACATTAAAGAGTTATTTTTATTTAGGCTTTTACATTATAAAAGAAGTATAACAACATCGTGGTGGCTCACACCTGTAATCCAGCACTTTGGGAGGCTGAGGTGGATGGATCATTTGAGGCCAGGAGTTCAAGACCAGCCTGGCCAACATGGTGAAAACCCATCTATAAGCCGGGTGTGGTGGCACATGCCTGTAATCCTGGCTACTAGGGAGGCTGAGGTAGGAGAATCACGTGAACTCAGGAGGCGGAGATTGCAGTGAGCCGAGATCGTGCCACTGCACTCCAGCCTGGGCAACAGAGCAAGACTCTATCTCAAAAAAAAAAAAAAAAAAAAAAAGGAAGCATAATGACATTAAAGGAAATTGAGAAATTAAGAAGTCATCCACAATCTTGCCATCCTAATCCAATCACTATTTACATACTTTTTCTTGTTTTTATGAAATTCCTTTTTTAAGCCCTTTTGTTGAGGAATGATTGACATACAAAAAGCTGTACATATGTACATATTTAATATGTAGAGCTTGACTTTGGAGGTAGGCCAATTACTACTTAAATTGTAGTATTCCTTTTAAATCTTTTCTCATACGTTTATTTTTTTCTACTTTTTGCACTTAAGAATACATATCCTAGAGTTTTAACAGTATTTAAGGCTACATTTTTAGAAATTCTTTTTTGTATCGAGAGTAAACATTCTTGTTATTAAAAAAATTGCAAACTGAAAAAATATGAAGAAAAAATAAAAACTATCTTAATTGCACGACTGAGCAAGAACTAGTACTAATCATTTATCAGGTTTCATTTGAACACATAGACACAGGGAGGGGAACAACAGACACTGGGGCCTGTTGGGAGGTGGAGAAGGAGGGAGAGCATCAGGACAAATAGCTAATGTATGCTGGGCTTAACACCTAGGTGATGGGTTGATAGCTGCAGGAAACCACCATGGCACATGTTTATCTGTGTAACAAACCTGCACATCCTTCACAAGCACCCCAGAACTTAAAATAAAATAAAATTTTTATAAAATGTACTGGGTTTCTTTCCATTGCTTGTTTTCTAGGGATATGAAATATTCATTTAGAAATTGGAATCACACTATATATACAAAATTGCATTCTACTTTTTTCTCACTTACCATATTCTTCCAGGCCATCAAATATTCTTTGAAACCATAATGTTAATGCCACATAACAAATATTGGATTAAAATATTTAAAAGGAAAACAATAGGGAAAACAATTCCCCATACAACATTTTTATTTTTAATATCCTCTTCTATTTTATGAACATATAAGAATATAGTTTTTGATGTAATTTTTTTTTTTTTTTTTTTTTTTTGAGACGGAGTCTCTGTCGCCCAGGCTGGAGTGCATTGATGCAATCTCGGCTCACTGCGAGCTCCGCCTCCTGCCTCAGCCTCCTGAGTAGCTGGGACTATACAGGTGCCCGCCACCAGGCCCGGCTAATATTTTGTATTTTTAATAGAGACGGGGTTTCACCGTGTTAGCCAGGATGGTCTCCATCTCCCGACCTCGTGATCCGCCCGCCTCGGCCTCCCGAGATGTAATTTTAAAGACTGCAAGTCTTTTAAGAGCAGGAGGTACTTGGAATAAAGTACAGGATCTAGCCTTGAATCAAAATGAGACCTCACCAGGGGTGCTGCCAAGCGGGGGACGGCCTATCAAAATGTTTAGATTGTGTATAACTATTATTTCTGGGTTAAAGAAAATAGAAACTGGTATTTAATATTTATTTATAAAAATAAAGGGAGCTTTACATTATTAGGGCAAAATAGTCTATGGGTAATGATGTCAAATGAAGCTATATATTTGAATATACCACAATATCTTCAGCCTTGCATATGTACCCACTGGCCTACTTGCCAGAAATTTGTCCACCACCAAGTTTCTTTGTGGCATTCCCATGATCTTCTCTGTGCTATGAGTCCTGGAACCAGCCTAGTCACAGGATTGCCATTGGCAATAGTAGAGTTCTGCTAGCTGCCATCATCACTCCCTCCACCGTAACTGCTTTAGGATTCATCCAGGTTCTGGGTCAAGGACAGAAAGAAGAGGAATTCCCTTTCTTTCCCACTCCAAAGACTGTCAAGTTTCTTCCTTCGAGCTTCGCTGGATCCCGGGATTATTAACAGGTGAAACAACCATTCTCTTTAAAGAAATCCTTACTCCTTTTACTAGGAAGAGATCGTATTGTCTTGGCCCCAAGAAGGCAATAGCAAATTAGTTCAGTCTTGGCCAGTGTCCCATGGTCTGATTCATTCTTTCTTATCCAGGATTTTTGGAGCGACAGATGCCTCATAAATATAAATAGGTCAACTTGATCTCACCTAAAATAAAAATGTGTTGGAAAAATCAAAATGTGTTGGAACAAAGAACCACAGTTTGTGTTCCAATCAGATTCAGGCTGCCCATTTGGGAATACTGAAAAAAAGAGGGAGACAAAAATTATAAAATAAGATTACACACAGTGTCCAAGTAACAAGTTCTGTGCCTGTTTCCACTTCTTTAAGTCCATTGTAATGAGGAACGCCCTCTGACTTGAAAGCAAAGATTCAACTAAAATAACTGGCTATCCTGTCATTTTCCAAACAGGTATGTTCATCAGATGCTTTAGAGGATTAGGGTTCAGCTTTGTGGCTATTTATTTCAGCCCTGGATGATGCAGACAAGTGCTCATAAATATGAAGAACCTGGAGGCTGTGTTGTGCCTTCAGTCCCACATTTAGCAAATTATGGATGTTCTACATGTTGTGTAATAGTTATATATTCCTGATTTAAAACTGCATCTTGTTGATGGAACTAATGGAAATAAATACACGACTACTTTTTAAAGCTTACACATTATTTTTGACACTGTGGGTATATATAAAGTTATTGTTTACATTGTAGATATACATGAAGTATACCCTGTGGGTGTATGTTTCTGTCTAAAATTCACTGAGAATCTCCTGTCTTCTAAGACTGTCCTGTTCTTTGCCATGTTTGCCTGAGAATGAAGAAAAGAAACTTTATGGGAATGAACCCTTAAGAATAGAGAGAACACTATGCTTGCCTTCAACTACTCAGGACATTTTTTAATTCTTCCCCCAGTGTTCCCTTCTCTGAACATTCCTCACTCTCAATATTTATAAGACCCTGAAATCCACTGTTTCCTTGATACAGGCTAGAATTATGTGCTCTGTGAATGTCTGTACAGCAGGAGAGGAAGGAGAGCCAGAGGAAAACACAGGGAATGCTAATAAAGAGTCTCATGGTGGTAAAATAAAATTGTTCCACTGACATTTACATGGTAATACAAAGGAGAAGCCTGTTCAGTCATGTTTTATAGTCATAGAGCCTAATTTAACTTAAAAAAGAGTAGCATCATTGCCAAAAGCCACATGCTTATATATATAAAAATTGATATATAAATAAACTTGATATATTTATAAACTTGACATACATATTATATATAAAAATATATATATATTTATATAGTATATGTACTCTATATAAAGTTAACACTGTTATATGCATATATCAAGTTATATATATCAAGATTAAATGTAATCTTGATATATATCAAGTTGACATGGTTTGGCTGTGACCCCACCCAAATCTCATCTTGAATTGCAGTTCCCATAATCCCCATGTGCCATGGGAGGGACCTGGTGGGAAGTGATTGGAACATGGAGGTAGTTCCCCCCATGCTGTTCTCATATTAGTAAGTGAGTCCTCATGAGATCTGATGGTTTTATAAGCATCTGGCATTTCCTTTGCTGGCACTCAATCTCTCTCCTGCCACCCTGTGAAGAGGTGCTTTCCACCATGATTGTAAGTTTCCTGAGGCCTCCCAAGTCGTGTGGAACTGTGAGTCAATTAAACCTCTTTTCCTTATAAATTATCAAGTCTCAGGTGTTTCTTTATAGCAGCGTGAGAATGGGCTAATACACAAGTTTATATTTTCATCAAATATATGAATATGTATTTATATACGTACTTGATAATATATACATATGTGTGTAGTATACATACATTTATGTGTGTATATATTATATATTATTATAATTATATATATATATATACTTGATATATGTATTCTCAAGTGAAAAAGAATACATAATTTCACTTTTTCTAGGTCAAATGTAATTTCTGATTATAATCCTGCTGGGCCCCCCTGCAAGTTATCTTCAGGAAAGAAGCTCAGTAAATTTGGAGTCTGGTTGAATTTCAAATTTGATTTTAAGTTCATTTATATTTGGAGATGCTGTGTTGTTTTCCTTCTCTAATTTCAAATAGAACAGCAACCGTGGACTGAAACTCTTGGTGTAAATAACAAGGAAGTTCTAACAATGAAGCTTTCCTGTTAAAGAGCAAGAATATTCCCATCTTTGAAGAGAATATAAATTATTTCAGAGTAATACAGTGGGTAATGCCTGTTCTCAATAGGTAAATCAATTGCCAAGGCCCTGAGTTGAAAGTTTTCTTGAGATAAAGAACCAAGCCTTTGAAATATCTGTCCTGGATATCAATTAGGTTAGAAGTCCAATCTCCCATCCCCACTTCTGAGAACTGCCTCCTGTATAATGAACATAGTGGCACAGCCAAGGCTGATTAGATTGGGGCACCTGATCTAAACAGGAAGTTGGAGCTGAGACTAAGAGCAAGCAAGATTAAGGGTGGTGAAACTAGTAACATGCCAACTTAGACATCATTAGCAGTGGCTGTTAAACTATGGTGTTACAAAACAGAAGAAGCTTGGAAACAGAATGGTAAAGAATTTCAAGGCTCTATCAGGCATTCTAGGATAGTCTCTGGTCCTAATTTGATCCTGAATCCAGCTACATTTTGCCTTTGGGTTTCCTGGTGGCCACTGTCATCTTTATAATGAACTCAGTTTTCAGCCAAAGTTAAATCCATCAAGCTTCTGTTACTTTCAACCAGAACCAGGAGAAACCCTAGACAATACTTTTAGAAATTAACTTTTATAATTATTTACTTAAAGCTAAAACTGTTCCTGTTTTAAATCCTAAATTCAGAGTAGCCCGATATGAGTATTTTTATGAATTTTGAGGTTTTAAAAAGATGGTAGAGAATTTTCAAAACACATCATTTTGTTATTTTGATTCTGTATGTTCCTTTACAGAAGAATTTTAAAAACAAGTCAAAAATAGAGAAGAAAACTTAATGCCTTTTCCTAAAGACTAATTGGTAATTCAGGACATGTATTTTTAGGGAAGAGTTTACATTTCTGAGTCTTTCCTAATGGTGGATTTGACCATTCCCTCCTTGTGTATCAAAGCATATTGCTTTATGACTATTATAAATGTATCATGTTGTATAGTAATTAGTTATTAATCTTTGAAATTCATTACCACTTGACTCTCTGCTACACATTAGGAATACGAGGGTGAGAAAGCTACAGGATCAGTCCTCAAGGGAAGACAAACAGGCATAACATGTCAGGTGGGACTTTGTCTCTGCCTCAATGGTTGACAAGTGCCTGCATATTCAAGAGAAGGCAAGGAATTGCTAAGAAGCAACTAAGTCAATTCTGTGACTCTAAGCTCTTCATACAAATTCAGTCTATAAAAGAGAAGCTTCTTTTTTTGGATAGAGCAAGATGGTGGAATAGAAAGCTCTCCCTTGCAAGGACACCAAGTTAACAACCGTCCACACTGAAAAAAACAACTTCATAAGAACTAAAAATCAGGTAAGCACACATAGTACCCGGTTTTAACTTTGTATCACTGAAAGAGACACTGAAGATGTAGGAAAAACAGGCTTGAATCACCAGTGCCCCCCTCCTCTACCCCCAGCAGCAGCAGGATGGTGCGAAGAGCATCTCTGGGCACTGGGGAAGGGAGAACACATCAATTGTGAGTTATTGAGCCCAGTGCTGTCCTCTCAGAGCAGAAAGAAAAACTGGACCAAACTCAGCTGATGCCCATCCACAGAGGAGGCATTTAAATCAACCCTAGCCAGAGGGGAATCGCAGATCCCAGCTGTCAGAACTCAAGTGCCTGCAAACCTCACCACTGAGGGCTATAGTACTCCGTGACTCCAAATAAATTTGAAAGGCAGTCTAGGCCATAAACACAGCAACTCTTAGGCAAGACCTAGTGCTGAACTAGGCCCAGAGACAGTGGACTAGGGAGGCATACAACATACCAAGACACAAGCTGGGGCAGCCAAGGGAGTGCTGGCACCACCCCTCCCCTAACCCCAGGCTGCACAGCTGGCGGCTCCAAAGAGACCCCTTCTTTCCACTTGAGGAGAGGATGGGGAAAAGTGAGGAGGACTTTGTCTTGCATCTTGGATACCAGCTAAGCTACAGCAAGACAGGGCAATGGTCAGAGTCATGAGGCCCCCATTCCAGGCCTTAGCTCCCAGATGACATTTCTAGACACACCCTGGACCAGAAAGGAACCCACTGCCTTGAAGGAAAGGACTCAGACCTACCAGAATTCATCACCTGCTAACTGAAGATCCCTTGGACCCTGAATAACCAGCAGTGATACCTAAGTTCTACCAAGGCCCTTGATGAGCCTCTGAGACTTGCTAGCTTAGGTGAGACTCAGCCCAAAACCAGCTGTGGTGGCTACAGGGCAAAACTCTTTCAGCTTGAGGAAAGCAGAGAGAAAAGTAAAGGGGACTTCATCTTACACCTTGGGTACCAGCATGGCCACCATGGAGCAGAGCACCAAGCAGGCTCTTGGGGCTCTGATTCCAGGACTTGACTCTTGGACAGCATTTCTGAACCTATCCTGGGCCAGTGGGGAGCCCATTGCCCTGAAGGGTGAGTTCCAGGTCAGGAAGCATTCACCACAAGCTTACATGAGAGCCCTTGGGCCTTAAGGGAACATCTCTGGTAGTCTGGCAGTACTGGGGTGGCAGTGGCCATGGGCTCGTCTGCCTTTGGAAAAGGAGGGAAGAGTGGGAAGGACTGTGTCTTGTGGTTTGAGTGTTAGCTCAGCTGCAATGCAATAGAGCACCAAGTAGTAAGGTTTTTGACTTCAGTCCCTGACTCCTGGACACCTTCGGACCCACACAAGGACTGGGGGACCTCGCTGCCCAAAAGGGAATGACACAAACCTGGCTGCCTTTGCCACCTGCTGATTGTAGAGCCCCAGGGCCTTAAGCAAACATAGGCAGTAGCCAGGGACTGGTTATAGCAGGCCTTGGGCGAGACCTAGTGCTGTGCTGGCTTCAGGTCTAACCCAATGCACTCATAGTGCTGGTGGCCACCGGGGTTCTTGTGTCACTCCACCCCCAGCTACAGGTGGCTCAGAATAGTTTTAGATGGTTCTGTTTGTTTGGGAGAAAGTGAGGGAAGAGAGCAAGAGTCTCTGCTTGATAATCTAGATAATTCTCCAAGATCTTGTCCAAGACCATCAAGGTGTCCATTCATCAAGAATGAATAAGACCTACTATTTGATAGCACAATAGGGTGACTATAGTCAATAATAACTGAATCGTACATTTTAAAATAACTTAAAGAGTATAATCGGATTGTTTGTAACTCATAGGATAAATGCTTGAGACGATGGATAACCCATTCTCCCTTACATGCTTATTTCGCATCTCATGTACCCCTAAATATATGCACCAACTACATACACATGAAAATAAAAAATTTAAAAAAGAAAAATCTACTGTCCAATCAGTAAAAAAAAAAAAAAATAAAAGAGAAGCCTCATTTAAAAAAAAAGAATTTATTTGAAGTTAATTCTTAGGAGTAGAGAGTTTTATGGTGATTCTCCTTCTTGCCCCATAAGGGACAAATACCCACTGACCCTTCAATACAAATTAGAGCTGCGAGGTTCTAGGAGTACAATAAGTGGTGCCCCTGGGCTTCAACTGTATGGAAATTGTTGTAATTCTCATCTGGAGACTGGTGGAGAATACAGCAATGGCCTGAAAAAGAGATGGTTGTAATAGAAATGGCCTATACTTCCGGAGTTTGCTGGATTAAAAATACAAAAATTTACTGATGGGACAGGTGGACTCTATAGAAAGGTAGCCAACTAGTGTCATCCAGTTTGAGAGGACTGATCCTCAGGGTAAGGGAACTCTGGGAGTATTCTGCTGAAATGCAGAAGCTAAGGAGTGAAGAGGTTTATAGCAGAGCGAACGTCCAGTCAGTCGATGATCCCCAGGAGGATCACCCAAGAATCCACAAATCTACCCTATGAGAGAGAAGGCATTTAGGTCAGGGCATTTGTCCATCAAAAGAGACCCACAAGCAGCCTCAGTTAAATAAAAAGATCTTTGCTCCTACCTATTCTTTTCATTCCTCTTGCTGACCCCAGGCCTAGAGGTACCATATGCAGACACTGAGAATTAGATAAATGATGGGAAAGTTGGTATTAGATTGGATGCCACTTCTTAATATCTGAAGATGTGATTGTTCTTTAATATCTGAGGCTATTAAAAGCAATGAGATGTGTCCTACATGTTACTAGGAAGAAGGAATGGGGGATCTGCCAGTATTTGAAAACATTGGTGGAGAAATCAAAACCAAATTCAATGGCTCCATAGACCAGTCAAACAAATAAACAGATAATTATAACAGTATGGGGTGCCATAGGGAAAACATGGGGGGTACCTGATGGGGTCTGATAACGTTTGGATTTGTGTCCCTGCCCAAATCTCATGTCCAATTGTAATCCACAATGTTGGGGGAGGGGCCTTGTAGGAGGTGATTGGATCATGGGGGCAGATTTCCCCCTTGCTGTTCTCGTGATAGTGAGTGAGTTCTCATGAGATCGGATTGTTTAAAAGTGTGTAGCACCTCCCCATTCACTCTCTTCCTCCTGCTGCAGCATGTAAGATGTGACTGCTTCCCCTTTGCCTTGCACCTTGCAGTGCAAGGTCATGAAATATAGGTTATGCTAAGGAGTATTCTTGGAATCTATGGGAATCTAGAAAGAGTTTTAAGCAGGGAAGTAACATTTTAGAAAGGTCACTTTCTGCTGCTGTGTTCTTAAGAGGCCTGGGGTTGGGTCAAACTTGTTAAGAACATTTAACAATAGTCAAGGTCAGGGGTGTTGGTAGTTTGAACTAAGTTAATGGCAGTGAGGATGAGGAGAAAGTGGCAGATATCTAGCTCTTCAGGAAGTATCACCCAAAAAAACTGGTGATCAACTGAAGGACAGGATAGTTAAAGGGAATGGTTAAGGATGCATGTTTCCTTGTTTCTAGCTTAGTCAACCAGATTTATTCAATCACCCAGTAAATGTATTTCCTGATATATTACCATATAATTTATGGATATGATCTGATAAATAATGTGGGTTTTCATAATTATAGTTTCCGGTTAGGCCTTAGTTTCAAGGATGGCAAATTCAAACTAAACCATAGAAATTGTCAAGCCCAACTAAAACCTATTAAAGTTGCCTGGTGTTGCAGTATAGGTCCACCATGGTTGACTTGCTGATGATATGATTTGTCTCCCTGCCAAAAGTACGGTGCCAGCTATTGTTCTGAAGCTGACTTTTCTCAGCAACATAAGTGGCTTCATGTAGAGTCAGGAGTGTATCAATGGGTAGTGCATGGGTTATAGCCCCCTGCCCCTCATCTTATAAACCCAGTTTGCTGCCTACAATGTGCCAATAGATCCACAGTTTCTAATCACAGGCATTTCTCTCTTCTGGATGTGAATGGTACATATTTGAGATTAAAAGTTCTTATGAGCTCGTTTCCAAATAGAGTATTTTTAAAAGACAGTTCAGTCTTGTATGGTCCACTCAGCAAAATAAGCAATCAAATCATTAGCTATAATCTGCATGTACACACTATTGGCAAATGCTGACCATAGGCTCAGATCGACAGAAAGATGTGTAGACACCTTGAAGAAGCTGGGTTTTAGCTGAGTTTTGTTTTGTTTGTTTGTTTGTTTGAGATGGAGTCTCTCTCTGTCACCCAGGATGGAGTGCAGTGGCGTGATCTTGGCTCACTGCAACCTCTGTCTCCCGGGTTCAAATGATTCTCCTACCTCAGCCTCCCAAATGGCTGGGATTACAGATGCCCGCCACCACGCCTGGCTAATTTTTTATATTTTTAGTAGAGATGGGGTTTTACCGTATTAGCCAGGATGGTCTAGATCTCCTGACCTCGTGATCCACCGGCCTCTGCCTCCCAAAGTGCTGGGATTACAGGTGTGAGCCACCGTGCCTGGCCTTAGCTGAGTTTTGAAGGCTATAATTGACATCTATTGATGGGTGAATCATATAATCTAAGAGCTAGAAGGGGTGTTAGAAACCTTCTATGTAAGCCCTCATTTTGCCATCAAGGAAAAGGTGACCTGTATGACTCATTAAACGTCAAGGGTACTAGTAACACGGGAGTAACAATATAAACTCACAAATTGCAAAAACATATTTTGATGTCATAACTTTATATAACACAATAAATAATACCACTTTATTAATGTGATCCTGGTTGATTATAAGATTTTTCTGGCTTGCGTTTATGCAGATCATTTTAGCGACCTCATTTATAATTGATAGAATTGAAAGTGTCATTGGTCACTCTTGGCAAATGCAAGATTGCAAATAATTTGTGATATTTTTAATTTTGAGATGGATATTCTGTTAATGTAACTGTTACTCAAGGTATTAAGAGATTTTTATAGGCTGTGACAACATTGGGATACATTTCTGATAATTTATTTCAAAATATATATATTTTAGTATATGCAGAAATTATGATTCTCATAGGACAATTTTTCTAAAAAGATTTAACTCTTCATACAAATCAGTTTTATCTAAGTCTGAATTTAAGTATAAATTTATACAATGGCATTTTAGTGTTTCCTGACATTTTCTGTAACTTGTGGAAGCCAAAAGTGGCTTCATGATTTGTACATAATTCAAAATTCTTGTTTATACATTCTGTCACTGTACATTCAATTACAAGAAAATAATAATTTTAAAAATGTCTTCCTCATTAACAATTGGCTCACTTGCTGCTTCATATAAAAACAATGATCTTTTTCATCTAATATAACAGTCTTTCATATTTATATCTAAGCCTGTGGATACTTGTTTTCCAATGTTGCTGCAGTTTGCATAACAAGAGATTCTAAATTCTTTGAAGTTGAATAACTCCATGATATGCTTTATTGCAATGCCCGTTTTTGTATGTTTTTATTTTGTAATAATTTATTGACAAAGTTTACTGCCTGAGTGCTAGCAGTTCCTGTCCTGATACTTGAACTGGAGAATTCACGTTTGCATAGCTGATGCGATGATGGGCTCTGGCGACAGACAGGCAAGCTGTTCTCCCACTGTTGGTCCTAACCCAGCCCCCATGCAGCACCCCTCCTCTCTGCTGGAGTCATGGCCACTGCCACCACCTGCAGTTTTTGTGGCACCACCAACAACCCAGGCCTGGCCTCCTCTTCGGGGCATCACAGCACTCCAGACTACTGCGGGCACACATGCAGGCACTGGGCCGCCTGCCAGCTGGTCTGTGCTCATGTTGGCTGCACTCATGGACTTGACCGGCTGCTGGCTGTGCTCATGGACTTGACCCTGCACATGCCCACGAAGACACCTGGGCATGTGCGCGTTCCATCGTCCCACTGGATTTCACTTACAAAATACAAGTTTAAAGGTCAAATACTGGCCGGGTGCGGTGGCTCACGCTTGTAATCCTAGCACTTTGGGAGGCTGAGGCGGGCGGATCACGAGGTCAGGCGATAGAGACCATCCTGGTTAACACAGTGAAACCCCGTCTCTACTAAAAATACAAAAAACTAGCAGGGTGTGGTGGCGGGCGCCTGTAGTCCCAGCTACTCGGGAGGCTGAGGCAGGAGAAAGGCGTGAACCCGGGAGGCGGAGCTTGCAGTGAGCCGAGATTGCGCCACTGCACTCCAGCCTGGGCGACAGAGCGAGACTCCATATCAAAATAATAAAATAAAATAAAATAAAATAAAATAAAATAAAAAATAAAATAAAATAAAGGTCAAATACTTAAATTCTAAATGGTGACAGCAGAGCATGAAGCCAAGCACAGGCCCCTTCAAAGAGCTGCCGCTACACAGGTTGCATTCCCATAAAGCTGCCCTGCCCACAGCAAAGATCGATCCAGTCCAAATTGTCAGTAGCACTGAGGTTGAGAACCTTACTGTAGATTAGTTTTGTCTGACTTAGAATTTCATGTAAATGGAAACTGTCTGTTCAGAGCTCTTCTTTTTATTTAAGTCAGATTTGTTGAGGTATAACTTATACACAGTAAAATCCATCCCTTTGAATGCACATATCTATGAGTTTTGACAAACATATGGAGTTTGATCACCAACACCACCCAATAAAGATGTGGAACACTTCCATCACCTCCCAAAATTGCTGTCATTTGAGGTTAGAGTTTAAGGGACAGAGACCTGTTTGAGAAAGATGAATTCAGATTAATGCAGGAATCCACAGCATGCTGTGGAAACGGCTTGATTTAGGAGTTAATAAAAATGAAGATGACCAAACTAGTGATATCTGACCTGCCAAAGGGGATATCTGTTAATAGCAAGAAGAAATTTATGAGGAATGAATCAAGAAATTTTAAAATACAGGGCCATTGTGTATTTTGAATATTCTAGCTATTTAAGGGTCTAAAGTTTTCTGAAATTTTACAGTTGTATTTCATTTAGAATTATATTGGGGCTATTGAATTTACTTCTGATTGTTACCTCTGAAATTACTGCCTTCTGTGTAAAACAGCATGGAGAGAGGACCAATATAGACAGAACACACACACACACACTTTGTGCCATACCCTAAGGCAGGTGGGGACACCTTATCATAGAAGAGTCTGTCATAGGCACCCCGTTTGCTTCAACCTGGAAGAATTTCTCAAGGTGTTACAGATTGATTTGTTGCCTTGATTAGTTTAAATGCTCACAAGTGCATTTTAAAAAGAAGACAACCTAGCTGCAAAAAGAAGAGAGAAATATCATAACTCTATAATACAAGAGAAATAAATCAATGTAGGGAATACATTTGGGACAGCAGCTTCAACAGTCGATTGCACAAAATGGCAGGTAGCAAAAGTGAGCCACAAATGCCCAGACCATTTTTTTCTATTATTATGTTGTGTAGGCCAACTGAATGGAGTCCTAATTTTATACAACTGAAACTGAGGACTCTTACTGTCCAGGCAGCGTAATCAGAGTAGATCAAAACATTTTACGTGGGTTCCCTGCAAATTCCCAGAATTGAATATACCCAAGAAAATACAAGCTTTGTGTCTATATGTACATGCAAAGCCATATCCCCAATCTATGTTTCAAATAGACATTTTGTATACTTCTATGGAGGGTTTATGAGGTGGCATGTGAATAAAAATTAAATATGCATGTGTTTTGGTTTTATGGACTCTAAACTTGATTAAATAATTAAGCATTAGCTTATTGCACATTATGTTGTCCTTCTGTTTTTCTGTTCTACGATGCTTCAATTTGATTGCCAACTGGCAAGAAGCAACTTTTTTTTTTTTTTTTTTTTTAAGACAGGTTCTCTCTCTGTTGCCCAGGCTGGAGTGCAAAGGCTTGATCGATCATGGCTCACTGCAGCCTCGACCTCCCAAAAGCAGGTGATCCTCCCACCTCAGCCTCCCAAGGTACCTGGGACTGCAGGCACACACCACAAAGCCTGACTAATTTTTAAAATATTTTTGCAGAGATGGGGTCTCATTGTGTTTCTCAGGCTGGTCTCAAACTCCTGGGATCAAGCAATCTTCCTATCTCAGCCTCCCAAAGTGCTGGGATTATAGGTGTGAGCCACTGGGCCCAAGCAAGAAGCAATTTTCAATGGAGAGAAGGTTTGCTTCTAGATATGATGGAGAGTTATCATAAGGAAGAAAATTGCAGAAGAAAAGGAAGACAACAGGGGGCTTGTGGCTTGGGAGGAAAGAAAAAGAATGTGTCTGGAAGCAGGGCGAGTGTGGATAAATGTTCATCCATGATGATAGGCAGAGACAAATAATAATAACATCAGAAATATTTTTTGGATGTTACCTTGTAAAAGACTGAATTGAAGTAGAATTTAATTTGATATTAAACTTCAAGTGGCCTCATATTTTTCTTCAAAAGCATACATATATTTGGTTTCTGAAAGTAACTGAGATACAATCTCCCAATTCCCCCTTCCCCTTTGTAATCCATCGGCTGTGAATCATGCCTGGGGGGCTCTCAGAAGGCCTTCACCAAGTAATGATGTGTCAACTTCAACTCGGGTTTTTATGGCAGATTTTATGAAGAAGAAAAAATAACTGTTATTATTAAACTGAGAGTGACTAGCATTATCACTGACATGTTTCTTGAAATGCAAACACTGCCACCATTTTAACACATGTACATTTTGTCTATGGTTCTTTTGTCTTGGTATGCTAAGGATTGCTTGTCTTTATAACTTATTCTAGTTCAGGTAAATTGAGAGAGTGTGATGCAGTCTCAGTCTAAGGGAGATGGCACACCAGGCCACACTAGGGTCTAATCTCTTATTGAATATTCTATTAATCCCATATATATAGATAAGAAGAGTAGAAAGAAAATAGGAAATTAGGAAAGAAAAAAAGATATATAGAGAACACCTGTTATGTATGGTCGATGCAACCAAAGTTGCCCTCAGAATCAATGCAGGGCCATCCACCCACACTATATGTATTGGCATGAGTGAGAGCAGAACGAGCGACTGCCCTTGTGTGTCTAGAAGGTTTGGAGATACCCAAAATACCAATCAGTTATCCGGCAGTCATCTCAAGTTGACAAAAGTGCAAAGTGATGGATATTTTTTAGCAGAAATTACTTTTGTTGTATATTCTGTTTTGGAGAAACACAGAGTGAACAGAAAGGAGAGTAACAGGCAGATATTGTCAGGGCACATGGAAGCACCATTCAAGAAGAAGCAGAGCCTGACGGATCACAAGGCTTTGTTGAAAAGAGGAGGTTTTCTTGGCTAAGTGGCTCTGAGTTGTGCCGCTTCCAGAGCAAGCTTACACCCACAGTGAGTGTGGTAAATGTAAAGATGTGCCACACGGCCCCTTCAGGGTCAAGCCTTTCCCAGGGTAAGCGATGCTCAGTGACCCAGTGAAGCAGGAGTATGAAGGCCTGGTGATCTCAGTCCGACACTGGACAACAATGATGGATAGGACTTGTCCGGAGCTCCCTACTGGGTGGGCCAAGTCTTTGATAGGTCTGTCCTGCCTTATAATTCAACTTCTCCCGCTGCCCCTTCCTGATCCCTCCCCCTTCCATCATAGTTTTGATTCCTAATAAACATAGTGTACTCCTAATTGTTTCAGCATCTGCTTCCAGAGAATCCAACCTACAACAGTGAGTAAGTGTCTTAAACTTCTTTACCGGAGAGACATCTCTCGAGACATCTCAATATTTGAGACACCTGTTATTATTTGAACTGCCTCTCAAATGACACCCTTTGTTCTCATTTCATGCTCACAATCAATCTTCCACTATTTGATTTACATGTGGTTTGGCTAATACAAAATGTGCTGATCAGGCCATCTTAAATATGTAGCTCACCTGACTGTTGTATTTTTCATTATAAATTAGTAAACTAGCCATTTGATAGGCGCAATCTCTGCAAACCTTATTAAAATGGGATATGTACTCATTTTCAGAGTGCCTAAAAATTCAGTGTCCTGGGCCTATAAGATTCAGGACCAAAGTCTGACCATGACAAGTCAATGTCACAGTCATGGATCCCTGCTATTTTGTCTGTCCGACATCCCATCCTCTGATGAACTCCTGCCTTCCATTATTTGGGATTCTTTTGGCTCTCAGTCACCAACACCACCACAACAGGAGTAGGCCTGTGCCCCAATCTTGACCTTAATTCTTCTGGGAATTTGAATTTCCAGTGGAGATACAGGCAGAAGGCAGTTGCAGCTGAGTCATATAATGGCAGTGATGAAGAAATTGTCCTTAGATTCCTGGTACCGCATTTCCTAAAACCATCCTAGTTCCTGTAATTTCCAAACTGTGTTTTTTTTCAGCTCTCATTTCAATTCGTAAACTATCACATCAGTCTTCCAATAAACCCTTTTGCTTCTCAAGTTAGTCAATGTATTTGTCAGGTCTAACTAGGAAAACAGAAACTGCTTTTGTGTTTTTGTACCAGATGCAGGGGTTTATAAATGGGTGATGAAAGATCTGTGAAGCCAACCTCACGCTGTGAAACAACCTAGAGATCAGCCATAGCAGGAAGCTACTGTCACCCTTAGGCTGGAGGGATAAAGGGAAAAAGTGGTGTTATCAGAATTAGGAGGCCAGAGTTGCCTGGAAGAAGTTGAAACCACAGTAGACCTATCTGGCAGAAACTAGAGCAATAAAAGAGACTTAGCTGCAGCAGGAGAAGCTGCTGGAGACAGAGAGGGAGAGAAGAAATACTGTGGCATCTCCCTTCTTCTTGCCTGCCACACTCCCACCAGTGCCTCTCATTAGATAAAGCCAGGTGACGTGGAAGCCGGGCTGACCAGATCAGCCTGATTGTGTTACAGAGTCCAGAGCCAGTACTGTCATGATGTGTTTCGGTCACCTCCCATGAAAAACCCTAACTGATAATAGCCACTGGGGGGCCTTCTGGTACAGGTACCTTGTATTCTTTAAATGATCATTTGTACTATGAATTGTACACCTTATTGTAATGGCAATTATATGAACCAAGCATTGTGCCAGGAACTGTTTACATTCCTTCTTATAAAGTAAATCTAAATATCCAATATAAATTCATGTAGCTCCATGGCATTGGCATTAAGACAGGCTATTTTGGAATCATATCCATTCAAGACTTTTCACATACTACACAATAAAAGATGAGTTTAACCCTATTCTTTTAATATCTCTAAACTGATCATGTAGTGCCATGTGAATAAGAAATAAAACCTAGTTAATTGTGTTCTAGGGAATGGAGAATAAAGAGCCAATTGTCAAAACTTCAAGGAATGCAGTTGTTTACTGTATTTTACAGGGTAAAAACAAGTATAGCTGGAAAGTTACTGTATGTACAATCAATTTGCTAATAGTACATTTTTAAAATGTCTATTACTCCTTACAAATCCCTCTAATGACTTAGATTTCTATTTTTATTGTTGCTGTTTTACCTCTAATGCATGTTTCTTTTGTGATTTCATGAAATGAAGCTGTCTCATTGTAGGTTATGGGGTTATTTATCTTTGTAAATATCCAGCAGAAAAATCATACCTTTTATGGAAAAAATATTTTTAGAGATTGTTCCAAAGCAAGTTGCCTATGAAGTTTTTCTCCCTGGCCTCTTGGCATCATAAGGATACAATTTTTAAAACTGCTAAGGCTACAGATTTTCAATTTTATTCTTCCCTATGGAAAATTACAGAAGAAAACAGATGCTTTAAAAAGAAAAATAAGCCTACCTACTACATTTGATTTGTGGAGAAAAAAAATAGAATAAATCATTTAATGGTAATAGGAATTTTAAAAGTGCTCTAAAGGAAGCTGGGTTCAAATGTCAACTCTGACTCAAAGCTGTCTCTTAAAATGCATATAATTTAGGGTGACATGGCAAAACCTCCACACTCCACTGAGAATTAAATAAACATGGTTGTTGCTAATAATTTATAAGAAGTAATAAGATTTAGCTTGGACACAATGAAAGAAATTACTTAAAGGCCAACCAAGCCAAATGGCTGTAGTTTAGTTTAGTGCACCTAAAAATTCCAACAACCAGTACCTCCACACACACGTGATTCCAACTTTACCAAAAGAAAGTCTGAGAAGAGGTTAGTTCAAGTTCCATAGATTTCTACTTCTGGTTTACAGACATAGGATTATGGAAGAGGGAGCAAATAAATGTTGACTTGACAGTGCACAGGATTAAGGTCTTTCTTTAAAGTTGTGGTGACTCTAGATGTACTACAAATCAAAGTTAGAAAAGGCTGCATGGCTGAAAAATCTAAGACTAAATACATCTCTGTTTTGGTACAAGTACCATGCTGTTTTGGTTACTGTAGCCTTGTAGTATAGTTTGAAGTTGGGTAGCGTGATGCCTCCAGCTTTGTTCTTTTGGCTTAGGATTGACTTGGTATAAGGTGTAAGGAAGGGATCCAGTTTCAGCTTTCTACATATGGCTAGCCAGTTTTCCCAGCACCATTTATTAAATAGGGAATCCTTTCCCCATTGCTTGTTTTTGTCAGGTTTGTCAAAGATCAGATAGTTGTAGATATGCAGCATTATTTCTGAGGGCTCTGTTCTGTTCCATTGGTCTAAGAAAGCTGAAACTGGATCCCTTCCTTACACCTTATACAAAAATTAATTCAAGATGGATTAAAGACTTACATGTTAGACCTAAAACCATAAAAACCCTAGAAGAAAACCTAGGCAATACCATTCAGGACATAGGCATGGGCAAGGACTTCATGTCTAAAACACCAAAAGCAATGGTAACAAAAGCCAAAATTGACAAATGGGATCTAATTAAACTAAAGAGCTTCTGCACAGCAAAAGAAACCACCATCAGAGTGAACAGGCAACCTACAGAATGGGAGAAAATTTTTGCAACCTACCCATCTGACAAAGGGCTAATATCCAGAATCTACAATGAACTCAAACAAATTTACAAGAAAAAAACAAACAACCCCATCAAAAAGTGGGTGAAGGATATGAACAAATACTTCTCAAAAGAAGACATTTATGCAGCCAAAAAACACATGAAAAAATGCTCATCATCACTGGACATCAGAGAAATGCAAATCAAAACCACAATGAGATACCATCTCACACCAGTTAGAATGCCGATCATTAAAAAGTCAGGAAACGACAGGTGCTGGAGAGGATGTGGAGAAACAGGAACACTTTTACACTGTTGGTGGGACTGTAAACTAGTTCAACCATTGTGGAAGTCAGTGTGGCGATTCCTCAGGGATCTGGAACTAGAAATACCATTTGACCCAGCCATTGCATTACTGGGTATATACCTAAAGGATTATAAATCGTGCTGCTATAAAGACACATGCATACGTATGTTTATTGCAGCTCTATTCACAATAGCAAAGACTTGGAACCAACCCAAATGTCCAACAATGATAGACTGGATTAAGAAAATGTGGCACATATACACCATGGAATACTATGCAGCCATAAAAATGATGAGTTCATGTCCTTTGTAGGGACATAGATGAAGCTGGAACCCATCATTCTCAGCAAACTATTGCAAGGACAAAAAACCAAACACCACATGTTCTCACTCATAGGTGGGAATTGAACAATGAGAGCACTTGGACACAGGAAGGGGAACATCACACACTGGGGACTGTTGTGGGGTGGGGGGAGGGGGGAGGGATAGCATTAGGAGATATACCTAATGCTAAATGACGAGTTAATGGGTTCAGCACACCAACATGGCACATGTATACATATGTAACTAACCCGCACGTTGTGCACATGTACCCTAAAACTTAAAGTATAATAATAATAATAATAATAATAATAATAATAATAATAATAAAAAGACTAAATACAGATCCTGAGGTAATAATATTCCAGGGGTTTGTCAAGTCAGTCACAAAGGTCCATTTTCCAAAGTAACAGACTGCAAGAGATAAGAGTTTCAAGAAGATAAAGGTACTTTATCCCTCCCATGCATTAAAACATTGCTGTCATTCATTTCACTTCTTCATATGTTATAATCGCCAAATCCATTGTTATTATTATAACTTCAAACAACTGTATTCATTAGACCAACTAATAATGAGAAAAATAAAATATGCTATTTTACCTTGATTTATTCCTTCTTCAATAGTCTTCCCTTATTCATGTAAATCTGAATTTTTGACCTATATCATTTTTCTTCTTTGTGAAGCACTTTCAACATTTCTTGCAGGGCAGGTACCTTGCAATGAATTCTCTCGGTTTTTA
Source organism: Homo sapiens (assembly GCF_000001405.40). Classification (NCBI taxonomy): domain Eukaryota; kingdom Metazoa; phylum Chordata; class Mammalia; order Primates; family Hominidae; genus Homo; species Homo sapiens. The sequence continues at coordinate 132,915,966 of NC_000003.12, forward strand.
TTTGTCAGAGGGTCTAGGTTTCTTCCCTTTTAAAAGAAAATTTCACTGGATAGAATTCTAGACTCTTAGCTTTTTTCTTTCAACACTTTATTCCACTCCATTATTTTCTTGCTTGCATGGTTTCTAACAAGAAGTCCACTGTAATCCTTAACCTTGTTCTTCTACAGGTAAGATGTTACCATGCCCACCTCCCCCGACTTGGCTTCCTTAAAGATTTTTGGATTTCCACAGCTTGAATATGATATGCCTAGAAGTAGATTTTTTGGCATTTATCCTACTTTGTGTTCTCTGAGCTTTCTGGATTTGTGGTTTGGTGTCTGGGGAATTTTGGAAAGTTCCCCAGGCATTTGTTACTTTAAATATTTCTTCTGTTCCACTTTCCCTTTCTTCTTCTTCTGTTATTCCTATGACACATACATTACATCTTTTGAAATCATCCCACAGTTCTTGGATATTGTGTTTCATTTTAAAATTATTTTTTCCTCTTTGCATTTCAGTTTGGCAACTTTCTATTGCTGTATCTTCAAGCTTGATGATTCTTTCCTTGGTCATGTCTAGATTGCTGATGAGCCCATCAAAGCCCTTCTTCATTTCTGTCACAGTGTTTTTTATCTCTAACATTTCTTTTTGATTCTTTCTTAAATATTTCATTTCTTTGCTTACATTACCCATCTGTCTTGCATGTTGTCTACTTTTTTCATTAGCATCCTTAACATATTAATCATAGATATTTTAAAATTTCTATCTGGTAATTCCAAAGTCTGTGTCACATCTGAGTCTGGTTCTGAATCTTGCTTTGTTTCCTCAGACTCTACTTTTTATTTTTTAATTTATTATTATTATGCTTATTAGCATTCCTTGCATTTTTGTTGGTTTGCTATGTGATGTTGAATTTGTATTGTTATTGTATATGGTGCATCAAATAATAGAACCTGAGGTGAACAGACCTGTAGTGTAAGGTTTTATGTTAATCTGGCTAAAAGTCAGGCTGTGCTTAGTGCTTGCTCTCCCTGTGGGTTATGGAGGCTTCAAATTCCTGTAGTGTCCTTATTTTTGTCTCCCCTGTTGTCTTTAGATTTCTCTAAGACTTGCTTCTTGAATATACTCTGCACCTTGCAGCTCTGTCAATGGTAAACCACTGTTATTTTACTGGAGTCCTATTGATTTGACAGTAAGATGTCTGGGAGGGGAAGCACTCTATAGTGTTATGATGAAATACACAGCAGTCTTTTAGGGGACCTGTTTTTCGGAGCTGTGACCTTCACACATGCACTCTGGGCTGTGACATCACCTTTAGGTGAGACGGGAAAGCTAGGAGGTACTAGAGATACATAACTGCCCTTCCTCCCAGATGAGGTAAGGCTCTGATAAAATCCTTTCCCACTGAAAGGGCTTTGTTATAGAGAATGCTCTAGGTATATTTCTAAATGGTTACTTTTCCCTTTCCTCTGCCAGAGACATAACACGATTTTCCTTAGATCCACCATGAAAACCTGATGAGGTGCCTAGAGGTAAAACCCACAAAAGTGTGGAGACCTCTAAAACTGCGGCCCCCCCAGATGTTGCTCACTTTCAGCTATTCCACACTCAGCCTCCAGCAGTTCATAAAAATTACCAGTTACAGTGTCGCTAGCAGTTCCTGCCCTAGAACCTGATGTTCCAGGTTAGCTGATCTCAGTGGCAATTCTCTGTCCGCCTGTCTGTCCAAATTTCAGTGTGGCAGTGTGTCTTGCAACTTCAGGTCTCTGATGAGTACAAGAAAAGTCACTGATTTCCAGTTTATTCAGCATTTTTTTTCTATGATAAAGATGAGATAACTTCCAAGCTCTTTACATGTCAGACCTGAGAGTGGAAGCCCTTTCAGCAATTATTTTTACCAGCCTGGCCAACATGATGAAACCCCATCTATACTGAAAAATACAAAAAATAGATGGGCATGGTGGTGGGTGCCTGTAATCCCAGCTCCTCAGGAGGCTGAGGCAGGAAAATCGCTTGAACCAGGGAGGCAGGGGTTGCAGTGAACAGAGATCTCGCCATTGCACTCCAGCCTGGGCGACAAGAGCGAAACTCCATTTCAAAAAAGAAAAAAAAATGTATAGGTAAAAGAGAATCTCACCTCCTCCTTTTCACTCCCTTCCTTATATCAGGGCGATAATTATCATCAGAATTGTGGTCCAGGATTCATTGTCATCCAAAGTGGTGTTTGTTCTATCTATCCATCCATACTTTTAGACTTTTATGCTTATGTATTCTCTATGAACAGTTCTATCAGTTACCTTTCGATGTGTAGCAGCAAATCACCTCCAAACTTGGTGGCTCAAAGCAACAAACATATTATTTCTCATAATTCTGTAGCTCTGGTGAGTAGTTCTTCTTTCTGGTCTAGGAACTAGATCTCTACCTTGGTTTCACAAATATGTCTGGCAGTTGGCTCAATGTCAGTCAGGATGACAGGAATGACTTGACCAAGTGTCTCGCATCGTCCAACAGAATGGATGAGGCTTATTCACTCATTCACACTGTTGTGCTCACCAGAGTTCCCAAGAGAAGCAAGATTAAAGTGGTGTCCAAGCACTTTTTAAGTCTCTGCCATGTTGTTTGCTATGATACCATTAGCCAAAGCAAGTCATGCAACTTCTTGTGGGAGGGGCCTTTCCATAGGGACAGATGCAGGAAGGGGAAATTTATGTCCATTTTGGGAGAAAATCTACCTAAATATATTAGAGTATCACATTGCGTTTCTAGAATATTACATATACAGCGGCATAAGTCCATTTCTTTTAACAACTTGCTTTTGTCACTCAAAACTCTCCTTGTGCTTTAGTCATGTCGACAAATAGATCTAATTTATTCATTTTAACTGTTGTAGAATATTTCACTGTGTTATACGATGGTATAAATATATGATGGTATATTTGTCTACTCCTCAATTTACATTTACATTTACATTGTTCTCAGTTTTTATTTTTCATAAACTACAAAAATGCTGCAATGAACAGCCTTGTAAATTTTCTCGAGTGTGTGTGTGTGTGTGTGTGTGTGTGTGTGTGTGTGTGTATGTGATTTTCTCTAAAGGGTGGTTACATCCACTGACATTTTTACCTTTGTTGTGAGGGACTGTCCTGTGCATTGTAGATGGTTAATAGCATCCCTCGACAACCCACAGAATGGGAGAAAATATTTGCAAACTATGCATCTGACAAAGGACTAGTATCCAGAATCCACAAGGAACTCAAATAAATCAGCAAGAAAAAAACAAACAATCCCATCTAAAAGTGGACTAAGGGCATGAATAGACATTTCTCAAAAGAAGGTGTACAAACAGCCAACAAACATGAAAAAATGCTCAACATCACTAACCGTCAGGGAAATGCAAATTAAAAACACAGTGAGATACCTGTAAGAATGGCCATAATTAAAAAGTAGAAAAAAAATAGATATTAGTGTGGATGTGGTGAAAAGGGAATGCTTTTACACTGTTGGTAGGAATATAAATTAGTACAACCTCTTTGGAAAACAGTGTGGCAATTCCTTAAAGAACTAAAACTAGATCTACCATTTGAACCAGCAATCCCACCACTCTGTATCTACCCAGAGGAAAAGAAGTCATTATACGAAAAAGATACTTGAGCACAGATGTTTATAGCAGCACAATTCACAATTGCAAAGATACAGAACCAACCTAAGTGCCCATCGACCAACGAGTAAATAAAGAAAATGTGGTATACATACACCATGGGATACTACTCAGTCATAAAGGAACAAAATATTGTCTTTTGCAGCAACTTGGATAAAGCTGGAGGCCATTATTCTAAGTAACTCAGGAATGGAAAACCAAATATCGTGTGTTCTCACTTACAAGTGGGGGCTAAGCTATGACGATGTGAAGACATCCAGAGTGAAATAATAGATTTCGGAGACTCGGAAGGGGAGGGTGGGAGGGGAGAGAGGGATTAAAAAAAAACTACATATTGAGCACAATGTACGCAATTTGGGTGATGAATGTACTAAAATGTCAGAACTCACCACTACAGAGTTCATCCACATAACCAAAAATCACTCGTACCCCAAAAGCTATTACTTTTTTAGATTTACTCACTTGTCTGCCAATTTCTTTGCTCTGCATCTTTTCTTGCATTCTAATTCTTCTTTTTTACATTTTTTAAGAAACTCTCAGCAAGCAGTTTTTGCCCTTAGTATTAAGTGCTAGTTTACTTAGATATAGAATTCCAGTCTAACAATTATTTTCTCTCTTAGAGAAATCCAATGTTAGTCTACCTGTTTCTTCACAGGTAACTTCTCTTCTCTCAGTGATTGTTTTTAAGAATTTCATCTTTGATGTCCTGCCATTTTACTGAGACACATCTAGGTGGCATTTATTTATATTTTAAACTTACTCTTCTCCAGGCATTGAATGTGTCCTCATTCTGAGAACCCAGGTCTTTCTTCAATTATAAAATATTATCGGTTATAGTTTCTTCTAATGTTACATCTTTCATTTCTCTCTGGGGGCCTTATTTTATAGGTATATGTTGGATCTTCTCATTCTATTTACCATGTCTGTTAACCTGTCTGTTGCTGTTTGTCTTTTTTGTTTTGAGGTATGAAACACGTACAGCGAAGTGAACTAAGTCCGCAAACTGAACACATAGAGCTTGAAAACCTGCATGTTTACATATACATATACACATCCATGTAGCCACAACCCATACTGAGATACAGAATATTACCAGCAGCACAGAAGTCTCCCTGGTGTCCTTTTTCAAGCAGTATTACCTTTTGTCTCCAGAGGTAATCATTCCTCTTACTTCCATCACCTTGATTAGTTTTGCCTGTTCTTGAATTTCACATAATTATACATACAGTATGTACTCCTTTCAGTCTAGCTTCAACATACTCTAATATTCATTCATTCTTTTAACTTCTTTTATGTTTTCATATTTTTTTCTCTCTATTCTACATTCTGCGTAATTTCCTCAGACTTATTTCCAGTTTGCTATTTTTTCCAGCTTGTCTTGTTTGCTATTAAACTTATCTAATATATATTTCATTTCGATGATTCCATTTTTCATTTCTGTCAATTCTGTTTTATTTTCAAGTTGACCTCTTATTTTTATCCTTGGGTCATGTCATGTTATATGTTAAAATTTTGTCTTATTGAATCATTTCAAGAATACTTTTTCTATAGTCTCTTTTAGCTTGCAATTATTTGAGTTCATGGGGAGTGAATTCTCTCTGTGGCTTCTACTATGATGGAGAAATGGCATGGTACGTCTACTATGATAGAGACTCTGGCAGATAATCATCTCTTGTAGATTAATAATTGTTTATTTTGAACCATTTTATGTACCCATCCTCCGTGAAATTTCTTAATATCCTAGGTTCATTAAATGTCTATATAAAATAGTTCTTTTCTGCATCTGTTTCTGCTAGAGAAGGACACAGATTTCACTGGCCCCAAAACATATTTTACGTTAATTTCTGTACTTGGGACTTCTACACTTCACGAGAAGTATATATTTACTTTCTCTAACTATTGTTTAGCATAGACGTGTGATTTTGATTGCTCAAGCAAAACAATAATTTTACCCTAAAACACAGGTAGACAGCAGGTTTACCTGGGCTGAAGAGCATAGTATTTATAGATCCCCTTATATAGAGATATATGCAGTCCTAACTCCCCACCTCATCCAGAGCCCAGTCACATCTCCTGTCCCAAGTGAGTGTGAAAATCCAACTTTTGAACACTAAGACCTGGGTCTCATGCCTCTCTGTTTATAGAAATTGTAGAATTAACTTTATTGCGAACTTTGCTTTGTATTGTTTCGTATCATTGGAAATTCCAGCTCAGTTGGGCCCCTACATGACTGCAGCCCCAGCTGACACCATGATGCAAAGGAATCCAAAAAAAGTGTGATTTATAATAAGTGCTGGTTGTTTTTTTAAGCTTCTATTGTTACACAGCAAAGATAACTTGGATAACTAAATTACTTCTGTCATCTCCATGCTTTCTGTAAGGTCTGGTTAAAGGTTGCCATCAAGATGCTGTCATCTGTGGAAAGAATTGAGAGAAGGATATTGCCACCTTCCCTTGCACTTGCAGGGAGGAAGTATAGAGGAGCGCAGAAAGAGGAATGCCCACAAAATGTGACCCACAAAGGGATGGACAGAGATATATGTGAAGAGCAGACAGCAGTTCACATCCAGATGGCTGGCCAGTGTAATTCCTGAGAATTCCCAAAAGTACCCAGGAAGGGGAATCTGACAAAGACTAGATGTATAACATCACTGAGTTGAGGACTTGAGCTGTAGTGATGTGTGCATTAAAAATGTGACCTTACAGAGCCCAGTGGAGACCGAAGAAAAGGAGTACCATCCAGAAGATAGTGCTGGTTCATTCAGCTAAACATAAATGGAGCCAAAATCAGTAGAAAACCAAGGGCCCAGGGCATTAATTCCAAGACTGTGAGTGTATGGGTTTTGTTTCTTTGTTTGTTTGTTTGTTTTGTGTGTGTGTGTGTGTGTGTGTGTGTATGTATACATGCATATATATGTGTTAGGTTTCTGGAAAGACAGAATGGTAACATTCACTATTAAACCTGCAGAAAGGAGAAACAAGATAAGCTTTAAATATATATATATTAGATGTGGCAGCTAGATTTATTTATTCCTGTATGAATAGTTGGGCTAGATGGGTAAGATCCCTTTCTGTCCTGAAATTATTTGATTCTAATGCTTTCATGTATCACTGTCTTTTCGATTCACATTGTAGAGCTCTTCTCTGTTTTATACTGTTCTCTGTTTAAGAGGAAATAAGAATGTCACTATGTACTGAAGACAGTGTAACCCACTGGCTTTTATCAGCTTAATATTCTCTACCCTAACTCAGATAACGTTAGTATATGTGTACCTGCACTTCCTTCCCATCGGCCCATGCAAAGTGCCTGAATACATAAGTAAATAGATAATTCCCCAATTAACCTAGGTTTTGCATATGAATAATAGTGTTTTTGGAACAAGGAATATGATCATGACAGATATTAATATAACTTTATGTCTACAGACCCACTACATAATGATGACTAACACTTTTTGGGTACTGCACGAAACAGTCACTGCTCTAAGTACTTTTAAATATTAGTAATTTAATCCTCAACAAACCGTAAGGAGTATACTATTACTATTTTCATTTTATAAATGAGAAAACTAAAAAGCCAGAGGTTAATTTACCTGACGAAGGCTCAGATTTTTCAAATGTCAGTGTTGGTGCAGATTGGGTTCTCCAGCAAACACATCGAGAGATGGATATTAGTGTGTAGAGTTTCCTTAGAAGGTCTCTCAGGATAAACATGTGTAGAAGGGAAGAGAAAGAAGTGGCATTGAACAGGAAGAGAACTTACACTGAATGCAGTAATAACAATATCCTTCATCAATACCCTGGGAATTCTGAAGCTGAAGTGACCCTTCAGAGTAGTTCCAGGTAGGGTGAGGGGACTAGGACTTCTACGTAGACAGTCATGTGATGAATACTGCCCTTGGAGAAGGGGACATGACTTTGGTGAAGCGGCTCTCTCCAGACAAGTGTACTTTCTAGAAAAGAGCAGCCACTAGGAGATTTAGTTTCTCAGTTCTGAAGGAGAAACTGGGCAGTGCATCCAGCATTATTATATATGTGCCTATGAATTACTCAAGGATCTTCTTAAAGTGCAGATTCTGATTCAGTGGGTCTGGGCTATGGCTGAGCTTTGGGATTTCTAATAAACTTCCAGGCAATGCCAATGTTGCTGGTTTATGGTAGCAAGGTTGTGGTCATGTAGCTTAAATGCTACAAAGCCAAGAGTAGAACCTAGCCTGTCTGATTATGACTCTGTGGTATTATCACCCTGCTGCACTGCCTCTTCAAGAAATCCTCTGCTAAAATTTTAATTCCAGGGAACTAACTTGATAGATGCCAGACTGACTGGCTTTAGAGCATTTTCAGGTCTCCTGGCCTACAGCTTTAATGGACATGCTACTCCGAGCATTTGTTTATGACAAATATTTTTTGCTTAGCTCAACTTTCGTCAGGCTTCTGAAACTTTTCTTAGACTCGTCTATGCACTTTCTTGTAAAATCCAGTTTTAGCAAAGAACACTGCTAAGTCAGTTTAGCAAGAACCCCTACCCTTCATATCTGATCACCCTCAATATCTGATCAGGTTCCTCATCCTCTACCATCCCCCTCGGGTAATACACTAGCCTGTCTTCAGCAAGAATCCTGTTAGATCTGTTTAACCAGAATCCCCCTTACCCATGATGTTTCCTCTTCGTAATTTTTCATCTGCTGACTGCCACACTTCTCCTTGGCTATAAATTCCTGCTTGGTTGTGCCGTATTCAGAGTTGAGATCAATCTTTCTCTCCCTCACTCTAAAACCCCATTGCAGTGCTCCCTACACCCATCATGAAGTTTCAGAATAAAGTATTTCTTACAAGTGTCTTGTTTTAACAAGTATCATTGATTTTTTTCTTTAACGCCCATTGCTATATCTTATAATTGCTGACTTTCTTAGTTTTCCCTCCATTTCCAATAAGGCAAAAATATATATTTTTTAAAAGCCCGTCAGTTCCACAACAAAGTGCTGCTGATCCAATCAATCTCAAGCAACTTTGACACCATCCTACTACTCAGTGTTAAGGAGTTTGCAAAGTCTTAGTTATGTTTTCATCCAGGAAGTTCTTTTCAGCTAGGCTGACAGTTATTTTTCTTTTTGACCTTTAAGCAAGCATATAGAACATGACAATGACCTTAGCTACTCGGTATTCATAATTTGTGGCACACATTGGCTATTATTATTTTTATCAGAAAATTACCATTTTTCTATTTAAAGAACTTATTGTATTCTCAGGTATAATTTTATTATGTACTAGAGCCAATTCCCACCCCCCCTCCCCCCGCAAAGGAGCTTATCTTCAGTTTCGTAATGAGAATCAGTAAGAGAACTGGATTTGACATCCAGGTTCATTTATACTCGATTTTTTAGAAGCAACTCTATTCTATGAAGTCAAACCTATACTAAGAATTTCCCAGGTTACAATATACTATTAATTACATTATGATACTTTTCTTACTGTGTATGTCCCACAAGCACAGAAGGAAGAAGATAAAATGCTATGCAATTTTAAAATGTCTATACAAAGGACAAATGTGAGAATCAGTAACATATGTGTGTCAACTCTTGCTTTAAATTCTTGTAAAAAAAACTACAGTCTAATTCTTTTACTTTTTATTATTTTAGAACAAGTGTATAGGATGCGTATATATTCACACAGACTGTATATATGCATACACATATATACATATATATATTTCTATATAGAGATTAGGTAACAGAGATACAGAAAAGAAAATGACCTACTTGGAGACATTTATTGGATTGTAGAAAATAAAATCTTGAACTGAGCAACATTCTGGTTAAGAAAACTCTTCTAGCTCAGTCTGTTCCCTAGGCAACAGAAGTCTGTGTTTAAAAAAAAGCACTTGGAGTAGTTATGGTTTCAGAGGTATTCTTCATTCAGGAGATTCATAAGGGAAAATCTTTCCATTCTGTTCAAATACTGCATCTGTAATGGGGACTTTATAAGAATTGGGGTCAGCAGATAGTGTAGCTGGGCTTCTAGAATGATGGTTCTCAAAGTGTAGCCCCTGGACCAGCAGCAATAGTAGCAGTAGCAGCAGTAGCAGCACATGGGAACTTGTTAGAAATGTGAATTCCATGTCTCTATCCTAAATCTGCTGAATTAGAAACTGGAGCAAGGAGTAAGAGAGAAAGGAGGCAGCAATCTGTTTCGCAAATCCTCCAAGTGGTTCTGAAGCCCACAGGAGTTTGAGAACCACAGTGGTTATAATACATTTTAGGTCTGTTTAGAACCGCTTCTGTTTCAGAGTAATTTTCTATACACGTAAATAGATACACATGTATGGACACAAAATTTTTGAAATATTAGTTAGAAGAAACTTGTACTAAGACAGTTGTATCAGAAACAACTTTCTTACTAAAAAGAATTGGATTAGGATAGTCTCTGACATTCCTTTTAATGCCCTTTTCTATGTCTAAACTATAACAGTTCCAAGTTGCATGGGAAGCCTCAGCAGTGAAGACACCACCATTGAATTTAATTTCAAGCAATATTGAGAAGGGCGGTCACAGCAAGAGATATCTTTCAGGAGGAAAAAGACCTCTTTATGGGAAATGACTATCATTGGATTGTTAAAGGAACCATCCTATTGAGGTGGAGATAGAGTTTGCAATGCTCACTCTTCCTGTTGCTTAGAGAGAAGGTCAGGGAAGATAAGAACTGTGAACAGGAAAGGAGTCACTATCTTTATTTTGTTTCTGGCCTTTCTTCCTTTTGCTAGTTGATATTGGCAAGATGGCTATAAACCAGTAATCACCGGTTGAGAAGAAAAGACTAAATCCTTGCTTTCAAAACTATAGAAGAAATAATCTAGGATGTTCATAATCCATGGCTAAGAAGTTGGAAAGTTCTGATAATATGCTCATCTAAAATATTGCAGCTATCCATCCTAGCCCTAGAAACAGCTAAATACAAGCTAGCCAGGTAAAGAAGAAAGTAAAATCTACTGAGATATGGAGATGAAAGTGAAGCTGGATTAAGCTTTAATTTATATCTTAGGGCTTAATGTAACAAGAACTACATAGTTTTTAAAAACTACTTTTCAATTAACATATTGTACTGTATTAAACACTGATATGCAAAATCTATATTTAAATATTTTACTTTTTTTTTTTTTTTGAGACGGAGTCTTGCTCTGTTGCCCAGGCTGGAGCGCAGCGGCGCTATCTCGGCTCACTGCAAGCTCCGCCTTCTGGGTTCACGCCTTTCTCCTGCCTCAGCCTCCCGAGTAGCTGGGACTACAGGTGCCCGCCACCACACCCGGCTAATTTTTTGTATATTTAGTAGAGACAGGGTTTCACCATGTTAGCCAGGATGGTCTCCATCTCCTGACCTCGTGATCCGCCCACCTTGGCCTCCCAAAGTGCTGGGATTACAGGCGTGAGCCACTGTGCCCGGCCATATTTTACTTTTAAAGTCAGTAGAATACGTATCAACAAAAAATTATAAGCCCTAATAAATTTACTAATATCCCAATTTAACTCTAAAACTGTAATAAAGACATAAATAAACAATGTGTTGCAGATGTATTTTAAAATAACAACACTAATTTATGGGACACATTATGTTGAGAGTAACTATTGTGGCATTAATAGTGTGGATTTTAAATTCAAGTCCAGTTCTAAACTTAATTTAAAAATTTTTAATGTTTTACTTAAATATAGTGTTTTTCAAGTGGTTTTATGTATTTGTTCTAATAATTATATACTTTTAAAACTATAATGAATGGGGAAATTATTGAGCTATCACTCAGTAACGACATGTAGCCCCTAATTTATATGTTCCCAAAATATGATTTCATGTAATTCTGACAATCCTCTGTGGTCACACCATTATAATCTTCACTTTGTACGTTGTTAAGGAATTTAGTCAAGTTCACCCGGCTAGTAAATAGTGGAGGCAAGATTTGATGCTGATCTGTCTGACTCCAAACACTGCTCTTAATCTCTGTGCTTGTTCGCCTCAATCGATCATATCTGTGATTTAAGGCGGGTAGTTGACCATGCAACCCACAAATACATTGTCCCCTTGTAGTCTATATTCTAGCTGCAAGTCTAGTTCTTTGTTGGGGTTAACATATCTTTTTAAAGTTGACTATATGTTTCATATATCCAGAAATAAAGGTGTCAGAAAAAAGAATAAAAATAAAGTTTAAAATTATTTCTATTTTTAAAATTAACTTATTTTATAACCAATTAAGGCAAATTTTATATATTGTATAAATCACTCATTTCAAAAAGTGTACATTTCAATCATTTTAAAAATAAATTTATCAAGTTGCACAACCATTGCAATACATCAGTTTTAAAACATTTCCATTACTTCAGTGAGATCCTCATGCCCATTACTTTTAATTCTCCTCACCACCCACCCCGCTCAGGCACCAGTAATCTGATTTCAGTCTTTATAGATTTGCCTTTTCTGGAAATTTCATTTCAACAGAATCATATAACATGTGGTCTCTTGTATCTGGCTTCTTTCACATAACATAATGTTTTTAAAATTCATCCATATCATAGCATGTGTCTGTAGCCCATTCCATTTAATTGCTGGATAGTATTCTATTGTATGAATCTACCCCATTTTCTCTGTCCATTTACTGGTTGATTCTTGCTTGTATAGCTGATCATTTACAGGCTTAATTTTTTGTGTTTTTATAATCTTGACTCTTTTTTTGCCATCAATTAGTCATGAAAATGGTGAATCAGATATTCAGAGTTCTGATTCTTTAATTTGCTTCTGGGAGACAGTCTTGTCAAGGCTTGGGACTGTTTCAAAAAACTGTAATTAAAAGAAGCTTACATCAAGACCAGGTACTAGACAAATGGACTTGAACATAGAAATCGACCTTTTTAAACGTCATTTGAGAAGAGGTGGGGAAGGCTGATAGCAAGGTAGATTAATACCTCAAACTCTCCCTGAACACTCTTTCTTCTTAAATGAGCAGAAGGAAACCAAATGTGACATCGGGATGGTTGTTTCATCATGTTAAAAAAAAAAAAAACAATGTTTTTTTTTAGTAACTTGTTTTTGCAAATTTTAATATTTGAGGGTTTAATACACTTTACTAAGAATAATTCCATTATCCTTTTTTCTTGCTTTTTTCCCCTTATTACAAAAGTAATGGATTTTAATTTGGGAAAAATTATAAAACATAGAAGAGCAAAAAAAAAAAAAAAACAAGATGAAGAATAGCCTTTTGTTGACCTGCTTTCTTGATGACACAGGAGAAAAGACCCTTGAGTCACCATTTTATTAAAGAATATACTACACATTAGCTTTCTCCTTTTGGTTTGAGCATAACATATAGATTTCTAAAAACTCAAGCCAAGAATGAACTCATGTTAAATAAAGAAATGAATATATTTTTCTTAGGGAAGCTAAGACCTCCTGAGAGTTTTCAACCAATTTCTAGTTTATGGTTTTCTTTTTCTCTATCTTAGGGACTATTGATGACAGAAAAAATTTAGTAAACCTCTTAAATTTTATTTGTGCTCATCTTCAAAAACTGATTTTGAAATTACATTGAATTACATAGACTAGAATTCGTCTATTATTGGTTCATTTGAAAAACACACATGTTCCCTCTGGTAGAATAGAGCTACCTTCCTGACACGTTTTCAATTATTTCCAGGGTTGAAAATGCTGCGCTTCTGGGAGAATGTGATGACATGCATGAAAGCACCCAAGACAGAGTCCTCAGCACCTACTAAGTGCTGAGCACATATCAAGTGCTGATAGTAGGCACATCACATTCAACTGTTGCTTATACTGCTGATGGCTTTTCCCTTGTGCTATTGTGGCTGAAAAGACTTACGCAGGAATCACAACTCATCCACTCTCTCTTTCCATTGCATGCTCTTTAAACCTCTACTAGTTTACAGACCTTCAAAGGACAGAAATGACATATTTTTAACAGTAGATTAAGAGGAAGTGCTTTAATAAGAAGATAGCTGTTACACTGTGAGAATTGCTCAAGAAGTACATTTACAAGATAAATGTATTGCTCATGTGGTTCTGTCTGCTTGAAGGCTATTTATGAATTACCAGGTGGCTCCAGCTAGATATTCCATAGCACTACATGACTACAAATAAACAAAAATTGTCTCTGTGTTCATTGCTCTATCCCCAGAACTTAAAATCATTCCTGCTATGGTGGGAACATGTCTTTTCATTTTCTTTCTTGGTTAATGGACTCACCACCAAAGTCATCTTTGACTTCATCTTCTCCCTCACCCTCACCCTCGTATCCAATTGGTCACTGCGTTCATCAAATCTGCCTGCAATATGTCTGGAGAATTATTCCCTCATCCCTAGTCTTACTGTCCAAGAATAAATATACTCATTTTGTTGACAATATTTGGAATTCATCTCAGGACTGGGGGGCATGGGCATGTCCAGGATGTCCAGGGAAACAGTAGAAAGAATAAGACAGAAAGTCCCTAGAAGCTGGATCTCTAACTTACTAATGTCTCCTGTGTAATGAAATGGAGCCCACGCCTGCCAAAGAATTTGTGAAACCATCAAGGACAGACTGTCTTGATCAGCTTTCCCTGAAGTATCATAGAACTCCAATTCTTCAGGATAGAATATGTATCAGGAAAAAAGGCACACAGGAAAAATAAGCTTGTGGAATTTGGGGTTAGACAAAATTAAGTCAAGGATTTCATATAGTTTTTTATTTGCTTTTGTTGTACTGTGAAACTGTAAGGGTCAGTGATGGTACACAAATTTCTTAAACTTACTTGACAATACAGTCCCTTTCCCCAGACTCAGCTAAGAAGGCCTAGCAGGGAGAGAGCATGGCCTAGTCAAAGCACTAAGAGGACTGGGTGTGCTGCCTCACACCTGTAATCCCAGCATTTTGGAAGGCTGAGGGAGGAGGATTGTTTGAGCCCAGAAGTATGAGACTAACCTGGGCAATACAGTGAGACCCCCATCTCTACAAAAATTTTTTAAAAATAAAAATAATAAAAAATAGAGAATAAGGCACTAAAATAAGTTCAGTATGTTAGAGGATAGATTACAGAGATTAGTCTGAACACAGAAGTGCTGCTGAGCGGGAGGCCAAGTCAGATCCTTTGAAGCCTTTAAAATGTGTTGTAAAATTTATCCTCATGTCAAGAAGAAGCCGCTGAGAAATCAGGCTGAGCAACCCTCAAATAGCGCAGCTTTTGGAGAAAGAGAAAATCACATTTGGGAAGGAAGTGATGGAGACCATCAATGCTGTAAAAAAGTAGATAAGCCAGATGCACTGGCATGTGCCTATAGTCCCAGCTACTAGGGAGACTGAGGCAGGAGGATCACTTTATCCCAGAAGTTCAGGACCAGCTGGGCAACATAATGAGGCCCCATCTCAAAGTAAAAAAAAGTAGATGAGCAGACAGAGAGCAACTAAAGACACTACATTTTATTTCATCATCCGTGAAACTTATATCATTGATTATGTCATAATTCTATTATAATCAATACCATTATATCATAATCAATATTTTACTCTACAAGGAATTTATATGGAAAAGTGACAAGAAGTTGTTTATATTTTTGTAATAATTATTTTGCATCGCAATAAAATCAATATCTTAAAAAGTCATATAAATTACTTTTTGAACAATCCTTGTAGAGTATAAATATTTATGTTTAGAATCAATATGCTGCTATACAACAGTATTCCACTTAGAGTTTTTTAAATGTGAGAATTGGTGTTGTCTATTTTGAGACTATAAATTAAGTGACCATTGCTGACTTTAGAAATGTTTCTTTCTTTATAGAAAATAAATCTCTTCAATCATCAAAATATCCCTGATGCTTTTATGATTAATTAATTTGGGAGAGGAGGATAGCAAAGAAACGCTAAGCTTAGAGGTCAATGAAGATTAGTGAGAAATTGATACAACATATCACTAAGTGACAACAATGGAAGAAAACAGACTTAATTGAACAATTCTTTTCTATGCACTATTTTCAGGAACATATCTGTTCTATAAAGAGGAATACATTTGTTGCATAGGTGTTTATGTTATTTTAAATAAACTCTCAATAACATCACTTTGAATAAAATGTAGCCTCCTGACTAAATACCTCACAGCAGCATGGTTTCCAATGACAGTCAAGGGTATTTAAATGCTTCCACTCATACTCCACCTTGTCATAAGATATCTGATACGGTTTGGCTCTGTGTCCCCACCCAAATCTCATCTTGTAGACTCTCACGTGTTGTGGGAGGGACCTGGTGGGAGATGATTGAATCATGGGGATGGTTCTTTCCCATGCAGTTCTCGTGACAGTGAATGAGTCTCACAAGATCTGATGGTTTTAAAAATGGGAATTTCTCTGAACAAGCTTTTTTTCCCTGCCACCATCCACCTAAGATGTGACTTGCTCCTCCTTGCCTTCCACCATGATTGTGAGGCTTCCGCAGCCACTTGAAACTATTAAGTTCAATTAAACCTCTTTCTTTTGTAAATTGCCCAGTCTTGGGTATGTTTTTATCAGCAGCATGAAAATGTACTAATATAATGTCCCTTTCTTGGTTTTGCTTGTCCTTTAATATTGAATTACCTTATCTTCCTTCTTCTCATGCTCTACCCAAGGTGAATCAGTTCATGGGTCCCATCTGTCTTCAGAGGGGGCTTTTTGACTTTTGCAATTGATTTACCTGGTTACCCTGTAACCTCACCTCTCCGATGGGCTCCAGAAAAGTTAGAATTTTGTAGATTATCCATCTTTTTCTTAATGTTAGTGTGACAATGACACTTTCTGTCAGCTTTCTATATTCCAAGAAGATGTGAGGGCTCTGTGGTTTTTGCATTAATATGCTTTGTATTATGGCCAGTGCAAACATTCAATGCATGTAACCAAGAGAGGTTTCAGAAAACAAAGCTTAGCCTCTATTTTTCTACTCTGTTCTATTCATTTACTTTTATTTTCTATTATGTGCTATTCTGTGTCATTTTAAAATGCTGCTTATGACCCACTAAATTGATTTCACAATCCACTAATTAGGTCATGAACTACAGTTTTTAAAACCTTGGTCTGATAGAGGAGGCAGATGTATAAATGTATCATCACAATGTAATGTGTTAATTTCTACAATAGAGTATGTACTTTACTGATATACATATTATATAAACAGGATTCTTATTTGAAAACAGTAGAGCCCAACTTCGACTAACTTAAGCAGCAAAATGATTTAGTAGAGTATGTATCACCCAACTCACATATTCAATAGAAAAATTAAATAACCTGCTTTTAAAATGTGAAGGATCCAGTAGAGGCCAAGTAGCTGAGAGTATGTTCAAGTCCACACCACAAGAACGTGCTTGTTATGAACATTGTTGCTGGCAAAGTTTGCCCATCTTAATGGCCGAACTTTTGCCACTGCCATTGTCGCCACTATAAATAATTTCTGAAGAGTCCCTGCATGTTTGTGTCAATTTAAAGTCCTGAGTGGGAGTGTCAGCTTGGCTGAGTCTAGGTCCCCTACCTGCTCTCTACTTTCCACAGGTGGGTGGGGGGAATATTTAATTCCCTGGGCTTCCATGAGGGAAAATTTACCTCAAAATGAAAAGATGGCCAAAACATGTCCACCACTCTGTATACTATAGTTACTAATATTCTTTTTTAAAAAATAAAATTCTATTATTTCCATTGCTTTAATTACTACTTATATATACATGCTTGACTCCTGAACTTATGTCTCCAATCCATTTTTTTTTCTCTCTGAGCTCCAGGTCTGAAATACACAACTGACATCCCCATTTAGGTCTCAGGAGCTTCTCCAATTTAATCATGTCTCAACAGATCCATGAGTGACCTCATAATCTTTCCCACAGCACTTCCACATTTGGTATCCTGATGACTAGCACTTCTATCCGTCTATTCACACAAGCCAGAATTTTGAAGTTATTCTTCAAAATAAGAATGAATAAGAGGAAATTAGGAAGAGTTTCTTCCCTCACCATATATCTGATTTATCAATTATTATTGATTTCATTTCTCAAGTGTCTCTGAAATCTACTTGCCTCTCTTCTTCTCCGACATCACCTTCCATATCCAGACTACCAGATTCTCACCAACTACCAGGCTAATTCATCACCTACACCTGTTCTAGCTCCTCTCTTCTACATTCACACATAAATCTTTTTAAAACACAAATCTGACCATGTCATTCTCATTGCTTAAAAATCATTCCATGGCTTATAGGAACCCTTGATTGGAATAAGAGAAATCTTTTCTATTATACAGATTTTATTATAGACTCCATTATATAGTTCCAAAACAGAGGAATTCAGAAGGAAAATGTGCATCTAAGATATGGCAACCCTTTGAGCAAATAGCTAGTTGCAGTGTGATGATGTTTTTTCAGTATTTTTTGTAGAGAGTAGAGTGGGAGAGTCTCCCAGAACATGGATCACCAATGTATTCAACTCTCCCATGTAATTAAAATGACTTTACTCATGATAAATCTCTTTGAGTTACCCACGTGTATGAATTTAATATTTTGATTCTCAAAGTTGTAGGCTTGTTTATAAGTTCCACGAAGTCAGGGACAGTCTGTTTTATTCACCCAGTTGGTAGGGAGGCAGAGTCTGTTAGCAAAAGGCGAAGAGAAGGAAGGCGTTCTGGGTAGAGAAAGTTAATTTGGCAGTGTGGATGTGTGCCGAACATAGGTCTCCAATAACACAATCCCTTCAATAATTCCTTGAGGCAGTTTTGGGATGTGTTATTTTAACTAATCTGGAATTTCATCCCCCAAAATTCCCTTTCCTGTATGACTCTAGGTTAGGGTTGGCCACAAGAGATATTTGCATGAGATTCGGAAAGTGAAGAAGCAAGGTCAGTGTAGGTCACCACCTACCACTGCTGCTTGCACACATCGTCACTAATCTGCTGTCTCACCTTGTTGGTGTGGGGCCACAGCCAGCCCTTAGCTCCTCCAGCTTCGCAAGATCTCCTTCAGTTCCTCCAAGTCCCAAGCCAGGTGCATATGCCGCAATGTAGCAAAAAGTGTTAGCATTTTCTGCAGATCACCTGTGTCATCAAAGTTGGAGGTGGTAAGGAACTGATGCGGATTCCAGTTTTTTTCCTCTCTCTCCTGCTTTATATCCAGCTTTGCTTCCCTACTATTAGCTCCACTGACCTGCTGACACTTCAGGCCCACCAACAGATGCAGGGGCAACAAACCTTTCATAGACTTTTTACCAGACCTCACAACTGTGTAAGATCAAATTCCTATAATAAATCACTTACTCCACATCATTAATAGTAGTCTGCTTCCCTGATGGGACCCTGACTGACATATTCCTACATAGCATTTCACCTAGAACTCTTTTAAATAATTCACTTTACTGGATGATTCTATCCAGAGACAAATGCCAATGCATTGCCCTCACAAGAGGCCAGTTCCAGAGGTGAGATCATATTTAAAGCAGTACCCCAGGCGTTCCCAGCCCCTGGGCCATGAACAAGTACTGGTCCATGGCCCATTAGGAACCAGGCCACACAGCAGGATGTGAGCAAGTATTACCACCTGAGCTCTGCCTCTTGTCAGATCAGCGGCAGCATTAGATTCTCACAGGAGCACAAACCCTGTTGTGAACTGCACATGTGAGAGATCTAGGTTGTGCGCTCCTTATGAGAATCTAACTGGTGCCTGATGATCTGAGGTGGAACAGTTTCACCCTGAAGCCATCCCACCCCCAACCCCATCCTTGGAAAAACTGTCTTCCATGAAACTGGTCCCTAGTGCCAAAAAATTCGGGGACCACTGTAGTACAGTATAGCTGTAGCTAAGAGCATGGTCTCAAATGTCAAGGAGATCCGGGTTTAAATTCAAGATCAGCTATTTCCATGGTGAACCTGGGTCTCTCCCTTAACTTCTATGAGGCTTAGTTCTTTCATTAGTAAATAGAGACAATAACACTATTAGGGTTCTCCAGAGAAAAAGAACATATGTGTATATGAGATATATATATATATATATATATATATATATATATATATATATATTATATATATATGTGATATATATGAGATATCTATGTCCTTATGTATGATATGTGTATATATGCATATATAATTGTGATATGTAAACATATAGTTTATATATGACTATTTATATAATTATAAATATAGATGATTTATCATAATAAATAAATAATATATAACACATATGATTTATTATAAAGAACTGGCTGACATGATTATGGGGGCTGAAAAGTTCCACAATCATCTGTCTGAAGCTGGAGATGCAGTCCAGATGAAGATGGAGAACCAGTTGTGTAATTCCATCCAAGTCAGAAGGCCTGAGAACCAGAAGAGCCAATAGTGTAAGTTCCAGTCTGAATGCAGAAGACTGATGTCCCAGCTTGAAAACAGTCAGGCAGAGAGAATGAATTCTCTCTTACCTCACTTTTTATTCTATTCAGGCCTCTATCAGATTGAATGAGGCCTGCTCACATTGGGGAGGGCAATCTGCATTACTCAGTCTACCAGTTCAAATGTTAGTCTCATCCAGAAACACCCTCACAGATACCCAGAATAATATTTAACCAACTATCTAAGGCACTGCCTGTCCCAGTCAAGTTGACACATAAAATTAACCATCACAGACACCTACCTCACAACATTGTTGTAAGCTTTGAATAAACACAAGATACATTAAGCACCTAGAATTGTAAGGGGAACAAAGTAAATTAATAAATTGTGACTATTATAAAAGAAGAAACATATCAATGTAATAAAGGGATATTTTCTTTTGTAAGGAGTAAAGGGATATTTTCTTTTGTTGGGTAATGAACTAGAATCATTGGCTGAGTTTTCCACTAATGTATCTCTTTTCTTTTTCTTTTTCTTTTCTTTTCTTTTGAGACAGAGTCTCACTCTGTCACCCAGGCTGCAGTGCAGTGGTGTGATCTCAGCTTACTGCAACCTCCGCCTCCCTAGTTCAAGCAATTCTCCTGCCTCAGCCTCCTGAGTAGCTGGAATTACAGGTGCGTGCCACCGCACCAGGCTAATTTTTGTATTTTTAGTAGAAACGGGTTTCACCATGTTGGTCAGGCTGGTCTTGAACTCCTGACCTCGTGATCCACCTGCCTCAGCCTCCCAAAGTGCTGGGATTACAGGCATGAGCCACTGCACCTAGCCTAAGGTATCTCTTTAAAGAATATCCTTATATATTTTTTGAATAACGTAAGAGTCAAGTGATTTTTCCTTAGCCTTCATTATCATATAAGAATGAGCTCTATGATGACACACAGTAGAGAAGGGGATGTGAAAACCACAGACCAGAGGAGGTGGAGAGCTAAAGGACCTGTTTCCAGCTGGCAATACACATGGTTGATGAAATGGAACCAACACTGGTAAGAATGGACACAAGTTCTTATCCTGTCACGTGACAGATGAGGCTTGGAACCCCACTTCAGGAAAGATGCTTGCCTCTGCGCTATTTCATTCAGTGAGCTCAATGAGGAAAATTTTCCACATGCTTGGCATTTTCTTTTTTTGTATCTTGTTTGTAGAATGCTGTCTGCCCTTATCCAAGCTGCTGATTGCTTATTAAAGGCGTAAGGAGGAGCAGAGCTCTCCCTGTGGGGGCACCAGCCCAACCCTCAGAGAGTTCTCATCAGCCCAAGGAGGAAGATGCTCTACAACAATGCAATGCCCTGACATTTGGTTGAAGGACATTTGTGGTTCTGTAGAATACCCGAGGGTACTATTGTGCTGCAGAGAGATACGAGTGGTTTTCTTCCGACAAAGGGAGAAGAGAGGATTTCAGGCCAAGTTTAGGCTTTGGTACAAACTAATTAAAAAGCAACCACAAAGAAGAGAGGAAAGAATCCTAATCAATGTGACTCTGAGGAATTTATCCTTTTTAATTGCGTTGCAATGTGGCTGGTTCTGTAGAAGAAAATAATGCTTCATACTTCACTATCATGAAATTTTAACACATACTTATGTGCATTTTTATGAAGAAAGTCATTTTTAATAATATATTTTAAGGATAGAATTAAATAACGGCTCTGACTCCAAAATTCAATAGCCTTAGGTTACCATAAGAAAGATAATAAAATATTCATTTCTTTGTAATTAGTATGAGTTAGAGGTAAAATGAGAAAAAAGTCCTATAGCTTTGAAGTACTGGTTTGAGAAAGATGTTCTCTACAAAAGTGGGAGACTAAATGGCACTGTGTTTAATAAAGACCAGAAGTTCATAAAACATGGCTACTTCACTAATCTGCTTTCCAAACTTCAATTTGTCTGTAGGCAAATACGGCCATTAGTGGCCACCCTTTTTAATCACATATTTTACTACATATGCTCTCTGTTTATTTTAGATTTCACATAGCCTACAGTTCAAAGGCAGAAGTTCTTTGAAAGCTAACCTATATTATCCTTCTCCCACAAAAGTGTTTGAAATTATGGCTCTGTTATTTACATCCACCATGAAGATAAAGTTCTTTATCTTTTCTGAGTTATGAGCCCCTTTGAAAATTTGATAAAAGACATAGATATCATCTCTAGAATAAAAAGCCCCTGCACAATTTGAAGATACACCCTAAATTTGCATGTAATACCCAGGAGTTCAAGGACTCCTTAAAGCACGTCTTTGGACTCCAGCTTGAGAGCCACTGATTGAGAGGGTGGATGGTTATTTCCAACTTGGCATGGATACAGGAAGTTTAGTGGAGATTTGAGATAAGAAATAAATTAAATGACTTTTTGAGTATTTTAGATTTAAATATTCACAGGCTAGTTTAAAAATAAATTTCCAGAATACTGAACATACCCATGTCCAAATATAATTTTAAAAGGATCATTTCTTGATACCATATTTCTAAAGAGCAAATTGGTAATATATATTAAGTGACTTAACAATCTTCATTGATTTTGACTCAGCCATTATAATTTCAGAAATCTGCTCTAAGGAAATATTCAGAGATGTGAACAAAGACATATGTCTAAGTAAGTTTGTCACACTATTATTATTAGAACAAGAACTTGAAAACAACTTAGATGTTTAGGAGGGGAAAAGCAACAGGTAAATAAATTAATTTCATCTGTGTAATAAATTATTTACAGCTGTCAAAAATTTGTGTTTTTATAAGAATATTTAATGGCATGGGCAACTACTTAAAATCTAATGTCAAGTTAAAATGGATAGAAATGATTTCTATTATCTAAATGAGGAAATTAAAAATTAATGAGAGTGGGTTTTAAAACTCTATGTGTGTGGGAATGGTGTTCATTAATTGAAGAAACCAATAATCATTTTATGCCTACTACGTGCTAGGTACTATTCTCTGCATATATCAAAGTAACATGTATTATTAGAAAAAAATAAAACAAACATAAAACCCATATGTTTGATCTATAATAGCCATATGATACTTGGAATTTCTCTCACACTGATTTCCTGTGTATGTTTTATTTTTTCACTATGATGCAACCTCTTGTAGGTAAAGGATTCCATTTAATTCACATTTATTGGGTATTTCTTTGAGTTGGGTGCTGTTGTAGGTGCTGAACTTGTCCACCATTTTAAAAGTTCTCAGCAATATTCAAAGTCTTGTAGAGTGCTTTCTAAATTCTTGTTGAATTAAATTCTAATGACAAAGAAATACATTTGGGTATTAACAAAATGAGATGAATCCTAAATCTTCCTTTCAGTAATTGTGAGACAGTAGATACCTTACTTTTATAAGCATGTTTCTTTAAAAAAAAAAAAAAAAACCAAACAACAAAACCCAAGTAGCTAATATTACCTACCTTAAAGTGCTGACGACAGAATTAAAGTTTTGCATATGTCTTTCATAGTATTAAGCAAATAGTTGACCTTAATGAGTGTTTCTTTTCCATTCTTTATCTATAGATTGAATCATATAAAACTAGTGATATTCAGTCATTTTTTTACCTACAAAAGTGGCAGTTTTGTATGCTCAATCTAATAATTAATAATTAACTATAATATACAGCAGAACCCCTGATAAATTATATGAAAAAGTATAGCTGTGGATTGGAGCTGATATAATTACAATGAATTAATTCAACAAAATTCTGAGAATTAAAGATATTGCTTAATTTTAACCTGTGTAACAGTCATATTAGTCATGTTTTAAAATTAAAAGAGCAATGAAATCTAGGAGACATGAACAACTGAGGGCTGGGGGAGGGCTTATTAACTAAAATTGGAATCCCAAATGTCCTATAAGAAAAGTCAGACTTATTTGACCACATGAATCTTTTTAAAAATCATATTAAAAATAGAATAAACAATGTTTATTTATTGATTAATTGATTAATTTCCTTTCTTTTATCACTAGAATATGTGTCCGAGAGAAGATATTTTTGTGTAATTTTTTACTGTTGAATCCTCAGTACATAGAAAAATGTCTGATACATAGTAGGTATAATTACAAAAAATTACTATAAACGAAGTCAACCAACAGATAATAGATGTGGGACAAATGTTTGCAACAAGGGAACATATTAATATTTCTAAGGCAAAAGGGTTAGGAAAGTTAACAAGAAAGAGACATACAACTCAACAGGAAAATGGGAGAACCCAAATGTCCGAGGAACATATGAAAATATTATCAAACTAATTCATTGCATTACCACTTAAGACTGGCAAAAGTGGAAAAGGATGACAACCTCTGTTGTTGACAGCGATACTGGGGAAAGGGTACTATCATAGGAGGCTGGTGAGAAGGTAAATTGCCTTTGGTGTTGTTGGAATGCAATCTGTTGTTATTTGTCAAAATTTAAAATGCATATATATTTTGACTCACAAATACTTCTTTTAGGTATCTGTCCCATAGAAATGAAAGCACAAGGATATTTAGGACAGCATTATTTTATGGGTACAAAAGAAAACAAGTAGAAACAGTATGATTGCCCATCAATAGGAGAGTCATTGAATAAATTACAACATATTGCAATATAAAGTGTTACACAGTTGTTAGAAAGAGTTATTGTCGAGTAAGAAAAAGCAAGATTTAAAAATATGTGTATGTTCAAATTTTTGCAAGATAATGACAAAACCTCTCTATGTGTATACTTATATTCATATATACATTATAAATATGTATATACAATATGTATAGTGGTTTTTTTATGAATACAAGCATAAAAATATGAAAGTATATACAGTAAGTTGTTAGTATGGATAACTTTTGTGTCTATGAGGAAAGAATATAGATTGAGAGGGAGGTATATGGGAAAGGAAAAGCTAAACCAAAATACAATACTGCAATAAAAAATTGTATGTATGATATGATCACACTTATTGAATTTATGTAAAATTATATGCAAGTATATGTATGTGTAAATATTTTAGAAGAAAAAAATTACAAACAGAACAAGAAAAGGGAGTTTTGCTGAGCCACAGCCATTTCAGTGCAGCCTACATGTCTTGGTGCGGCCATAAAAAAAACACTATAATACAGCATTGGAAATGGGAAATAATATAAGGGCAGACTGCCAAGCCCATTCTGAGGCGGGATGGAGAGGGATGCAATTCCACCGTTAGATAAATCAAAATGAGTTAAGTAAACCCAAGGAACTTGCTCCTAGAAACCATAAAAAAGTCAACAGGGAATTATTAGTAGAAAAAAATGCAAGTAGAAAATAATAAAAACCACCACTGTGAAGCACATTTGTTAGAAGCTGAATTCAAGCCTCTAGTTGACCTTCATAACAAAGAAGCCCTAAAGAGAAGCAGAAGACTTGAACTATAGTGTGTAAGATATAGTTCTGATCTGATAGTATCAGATGTCTAAGTTATGCTCAAGCTCTGAAAGTCCTTGATTCTAGAATGCAATGGGGATGATCAAACATTCATTATTCATACAATCATGAATTTTGGAGCCAGACAGGCCTTGAAGGATATATCCAGTAGTAGGTCCAAAAGGTTGGTTTTTTTTTTTAACATTTTTAAAATGATTTTTGTTGCATTTTATTTATTTCTTTTTAATTTTTGATTGACAAATAATTAGATGTATGTATTATCAGGGTACATGTGATATATTGATGCATTCATATAATCAAATCAGAATAATTGGAATATCTATCACCTTATATATTTATCTTCTCTTTCTGCTAGGAATGTTCAAATTATTCTCTTCTAGCTATTTTGAACTGTACAATCAGTTAATGTTAACCATGGTCACCCTACTGATCTATGAAACACCAGATCTTATTTCTTCTATCTAAGCATATATTTGTACCCATTAATCAAACTCTCTTCATCACCCTCTCCCTCTTATGCTTTCCGGCTTCTGGTAACCACCAATCTACTCTCTATTGTCATGAGATCCATTTTTTCAAGTTCCCACATATGAGTAAGAACATGTGATATTTGTCTTTCTGTGCTTGGCTTATTTCACTTAACATAATGACCTCCAGTTCCATCCATGATGCTGGAAATGTTTATTGCATTTTAAAAACACATAAAAACTTACCATTTTAACAATTTGTAAGTGTAATTTAGTGGCATTAAGTACTGAGTTAAGAATATGAGCTATATTCCTGTGTCAAAGAATTTTTAAAAATTGGTCCATTGGGGGAAACTAGATGAAGGTACACAGGACCTCTTTGTATTATCTTTGCAACTTCCTGTAAATTAATAATTATTCCCAAATTACTTTTTTTTTCAAATGGGCTTCCTGTGTGTTCTTTAGGGGCTTCCTTGCAGGTACAGGAGAAGCTGCATGAGCAGAATTCCAGGTATGCTCTCTACCATGCACCTTCGCTGAGAGTAGCTCCACTTTATCTCTTTCACACGTTGCGCTTCTATATGAGATTTTTGAAAGTTCATGTTAAGAAATGTTCCCATTACAAAAAACAGTTTTGAAGCTACTACTCATTCTGTCCATTTATTTTACTGATTATGAGAGATGAATTTAGTTTTCCAAGGTTAATAAGCTAATAAATGGCAGGGCTAGGACACGAATTCAGATCTTTTGACTTTAAGTCTAGTTCTTTCTTTACTATACCATACTGTTTCTATTGAAATAAAAAGATTTTTGTTTTCATTCCTGACTCTGTCACCATTGATTATAACTTAAAATGAACATCTTCTGATAGCAACACAGGTAATGTGCACATTATAGACATGGAGGAGTTAAGAATAGACCTGAAAACTCAGAAACTTAGGATTTCAAATTCCAACATCTTCATGTTTGTAACCTTGATCAAATAAATGTGTGTGCATATGCCTTAGTCTCCTGGAAGGATATGCAATGAAAGATAATATACCTGGCCTGGGTCTCAGAAATTTAAGAGAAAAGTAAACAAATCTCTGCATTTCAATTCAATTCAATGTTCAATTTCAATTCAGCAAATATTTAGTAAGTGTCTACTAAGTGCCAGAAACTATGTTAGACACTGGAAATGCAATGGTAAAGAGAAAATGACATGGTCTTTGCTCTCATGAGCTTACTACCTGTGAGGTTAAAATATAGTCATTAACCCAATAAGAAAACCTAATGAATATATATTTCAAAGTGAATTAAAGAAGAAAGAGAAAGAAAAAGAAACATCACAAGAGAAAGTGACCTAAAATTGGTCAAGGCAAGCTTCCCTGAAGAAGTCATGTTTGAACTGAATCTATAGAATGAGTAAGTGTTAATTGGACATGTTTGTGGATAGCTATTGGTAAATAAAATGATAGTTTAAATAGTTCCTTAGGGAAGCTTTATTGAAAAGATAACTTTTGTTGAGAATATAGTATCATTTAGGGTCAGCAAATATACCACCTTTCTGCTGTCATGCTCACCATCCTTCAAGCATAGCAGACATCACTGATCAATTACAACACACTTTCTGGTAAATCCTGATGTAGCTATTCAATAGAGGTTCCAGGTAGCCCTTGCCTATCAATCAAAACTGGCACTGAAAATGAAATGAATTTGCCATCTTGGGTGTAGTAAAAAGATCTCTGGCCTCAAATTTTAAAGTCCTGAGTTGTAGCTGTATGAATTTAATAATATAAGGAGACTGGCCAACATTCACGGAGTTTGTCTCAGTCCTCAAAGTAGGTGACAACAAATACTGCTGCTTTTCCTGTAAACTACATGAAAAGGTCCTGTGGGGTGAGACTTCTTTGTGTTCTACTACTCAATTACGGACAGAAAGGTAAGCTCAGAAAACATGTCTTTCAGCAGCATCAAAATTTGTGAATTTGCCTGAGGATTATACACATATTTTGCTGAGACTTGCAAAACTGAAACTAAGAAGAATGCAAGTACAGAAGGTATAAACTTTAAGCCAGAAGGGCTGATATTAAAATTTTACAGTCACATCAAATCCACATATCTTAAAATTTGTGAGGGTTCCCACCTCCATAGGTTACAGAGCCACAGCAATGTTCTCTGAGCAATGAAGAATCAATTATACCAAAAACTCTGGTTGATTTGGAACATGGCTTCTTTCTAGAACTTCTGCTCATTTTGTATTTAAAAATACATATTAGTGTCATTTTTATATTTTTTTCTAACCTGTACTTTCTATAAGAACATGTGCATGCCACCTGAAGTTTTGCCAGTCATAATACTCTAGCAGCTGGCAAAGGATTACTGGCTTTCAAAAGTTTTTTCTTTCTTAATTTTTCATCTCAACACATGATAATACCTTGCCCAAATAATCTGAGGGCATATTTTGTACAGTTGCAGAAAATATTTGGATTTCTAAGTTTGTTGCACCTCTTTCAAGTAATTTTCTAACTTTGCTTGATGTTTCCTGAATATAAAGATCCTCTCTTGCACCAGCATTTGCAGAAATAAATTCCTCAGATTTGTGTCTTTAATGTTAACTATTTTATACTGTTTTGGAGAAGTTTCTGCACAGTTTTGTGTACATCTTGCAATAATAAAAATTTCAATGTCCAAAAAAACCCACTGACCATTATACAATTGCAAAATATGTCTTGGATATCCCGTGCTCTGTTTAGAATCATGTGGTATGCTGCATCACTCAATACACTCACTATCAACAGCACAGTGCTGGTAAGATGAACTGTGGACTCCAGAGTGAACCTACCTTAACTTTGTCTAATTAAAAAACAGACACTTTATTCTGGATGAAATTTTCATGCTCTTGATTTCCACAATATTATGATAAATAATTGGCATTATGCTAGTAATAATGATTGCCTTTAGCATTTGATTACATATCTTACCCAACTACATATTTTTTCACTGCAGTCTTTCATATCAGTGCCAAATTATGAGAGCTACAGAGGATATTTCAATTTAATAAGTGGGAAGGATGCTAATTTTAATTCTACTATGTAAGTGTGTTGGCAAATGAGTCAAAATGGCACAAGTAACCATGGATGCTGGCACAACTTCTTTTACTCCAAAGAAAAATGAAGGCTGTATCTTCTCTTTAGCTATTGCCATTTTCATCTCACTCTCCTCCCTCAAGCTCTCAGTTTGAGAGGTTTAAGAAGAGTCGCAGGCGAAAGTTGTATGGTGGTGCTCACCACTGTTTAAGATGAGAATATGGTATCCCTAATATCCTTTTGGGTGCATGTATGAAGAATGCCACGACACAGTGGCAAAGCAGAGCTACTCTTGTGGCCTAAACACTTGAGAAGCTGTGTTTGCATAGCTGTGTGTGTTGGGGGGGTGGCGGGGGGATGTAGGTGTGTGGTGCTCCATGATCTGATTGCTCCTGCTCCACCTACCCCTGCCTGTTAGGGTTTGCCATTTTGTTGCAATTTCCTACATAGTTTTCTCTTTTTCTTTGTTCATTGCTATTACCTTCTCATTGACTCCTGGAGTGTTCTCAGCTTTCTATGATACAGTATTGAAATGCAAACCTGTGCATTTGAAACCCCAAACAGCTGTGGACCTGTGAAGAGCAGTCCTTCAGAGTCCCTACAGATTTTTTAAAGTAAACTCTCCAACTTCTCCTACATGTATACATTTATTTCATATATATTCAGAATATATATGAAATATTATTCTGGTCCCCAGGGAGAAGCTGTAGCTCCCTAGACTCCACAGGAAGCTGTTCTGCCCACTGTTGGGACTACATGGAATCTCCAGGAACTTTCCTCTGGGTGGTCAGTAGGATTTGAATGTTTGGAATCAGTGTCTTCAGAAAGTGTGACTTTAACCAAGAGACCAGATAGTTTGGGTTTTTGCTTGTCCGTTTGTTTCTGTTATACTTAGATCTTGCCCTAAGGTGTTATGCATATTTTTGTCTCTCTCACCTTCACCTCTAATTATCACTTTGTCTCTCTCAATCAGCAACACAACTGTGGACTCTTTCATGTGTTGCATTTCCCAGCATGACCTAGCATTTCATATAACTGAGCTGAACCTCCTGTGCAAGACTTTATTTTTTTTATTTTTTATTTTTTTTTTTATTATACTCTAAGTTTTAGGGTACATGTGCACATTGTGCAGGTTAGTTACATATGTATACATGTGCCATGCTGGTGCGCTGCACCCACTAATGTGTCATCTAGCATTAGGTATATCTCCCAATGCTATCCCTCCCCCCTCCCCCGACCCCACCACAGTCCCCAGAGTGTGATATTCCCCTTCCTGTGTCCATGTGATCTCATTGTTCAATTCCCACCTATGAGTGAGAATATGCGGTGTTTGGTTTTTTGTTCTTGCGATAGTTTACTGAGAATGATGGTTTCCAATTTCATCCATGTCCCTACAAAGCATATGAACTCATCATTTTTTATGGCTGCATAGTATTCCATGGTGTATATGTGCCACATTTTCTTAATCCAGTCTATCATTGTTGGACATTTGAGTTGGTTCCAAGTCTTTGCTATTGTGAATAGTGCCGCAATAAACATACGTGTGCATGTGTCTTTATAGCAGCATGATTTATACTCATTTGGGTATATACCCAGTAATGGGATGGCTGGGTCAAATGGTATTTCTAGTTCTAGATCCCTGAGGAATCGCCACACTGATTTCCACAATGGTTGAACTAGTTTACAGTCCCACCAACAGTGTAAAAGTGTTCCTATTTCTCCACATCCTCTCCAGCACCTGTTGTTTCCTGACTTTTTAATGATTGCCATTCTAACTGGTGTGAGATGATATCTCATAGTGGTTTTGATTTGCATTTCTCTGATGGCCAGTGATGATGAGCATTTCTTCATGTGTTTTTTGGCTGCATAAATGTCTTCTTTTGAGAAGTGTCTGTTCATGTCCTTCGCCCACTTTTTGATGGGGTTGTTTGTTTTTTTCTTGTAAATTTGTTTGAGTTCATTGTAGATTCTGGATATTAGCCCTTTGTCAGATGAGTAGGTTGCGAAAATTTTCTCCCATGTTGTAGGTTGCCTGTTCACTCTGATGGTAGTTTCTTTTGCTGTGCAGAAGCTCTTTAGTTTAATTAGATCCCATTTGTCAATTTTGTCTTTTGTTGCCATTGCTTTTGGTGTTTTGGACATGAAGTCCTTGCCCACGCCTATGTCCTGAATGGTAATGCCTAGGTTTTCTTCTAGGGTTTTTATGGTTTTAGGTTTAACGTTTAAATCTTTAATCCATCTTGAATTGATTTTTGTATAAGGTGTAAGGAAGGGATCCAGTTTCAGCTTTCTACATATGGCTAGCCAGTATTCCCAGCACCATTTATTAAATAGGGAATCCTTTCCCCATTGCTTGTTTTTCTCAGGTTTGTCAAAGATCAGATAGTTGTAGATATGCGGCATTATTTCTGAGGGCTCTGTTCTGTTCCATTGATCTATATCTGTGTTTTGGTACCAGTACCATGCTGTTTTGGTTACTGTAGCCTTGTAGTATAGTTTGAAGTCAGGTAGTGTGATGCCTCCAGCTTTGTTCTTTTGGCTTAGGATTGACTTGGCAATGCGGGCTCTTTTTTGATTCCATATGAACTTTAAAGTAGTTTTTTCCAATTCTGTGAAGAAAGTCATTGGTAGCTTGATGGGGATGGCATTGAATCCGTAAATTACCTTGGGCACTATGGCCATTTTCACGATATTGATTCTTCCTACCCATGAGCATGGAATGTTCTTCCATTTGTTTGTGTCCTCTTTTATTTCCTTGAGCAGTGGTTTGTAGTTCTCCTTGAGGAGGTCCTTCACATCCCTTGTAAGTTGAATTCCTAGGTATTTTATTCTCTTTGAAGCAATTGTGAATGGGAGTTCACCCATGATTTGGCTCTCTGTTTGTCTGTTGTTGGTGTATAAGAATGCTTGTGATTTTTGTACATTGATTTTGTATCCTGAGACTTTGCTGAAGTTGCTTATCAGCTTAAGGAGATTTTGGGCTGAGACGATGGGGTTTTCTAGATAAACAATCATGTCGTCTGCAAACAGGGACAATTTGACTTCCTCTTTTCCTAATTGAATACCCTTTAT